>NC_000013.11:79783671-79936512 GCF_000001405.40 Homo sapiens | reverse complement strand
TCTGATCTGATGGTCATTTTTTTTCCAGTGGAGGATGTGGCGCAGGAAGAGGGAAGAGTGCCAATCTCTGTCTAATGGTTCCAAACAGGCCCTGGGCCTAGCTCTTTGGATGCTGATGAGTGGGAAATGAAACACAGATGGGTCAGATGGGTAAGGAGAAGGGGATTACAGGTCAGGCCAAAGAGTTGGAATAAATTAAGTGCTTATAAGGTACAGAATGGCACATTGTTTAAGTGAATGGACAGGGAAAAAACATTCCTGCATTGTTTGGTCCAGTGAGTGAACTCAACATTCCTCTTCCCAGACCAACCTAGGCCACAGAGATCCCCATCATCAGAATGTATATGAGCAACGAACCAAACTGTGGCCAAATGGTGCCTGAAATATTCTGCTATACCCCAAAGCAGCCAATTTTGTTTTATTACACAGGAGATGTAATTTATTGGGAGAAATGTTTGGGTTCATATGTCAGATCATAGAGAGTCAGATTTGGGGTTCCCTTGGGGATCCGAGGAGAAGGTGAGTAACCACAAATTAATACAGCAGGGAAATAAAGTGACAAAAGAAATGTTTCATTGTGCTTGAAATATTGAACCAATTTCCCCCTTTTTAGCCTTTTAAACCTTTGCTCACAAATCAAAGAGTAGCTCAACTTAAGAGAACTCAGCAGAAGCCTGTCATGCCCAGTAATGACAACAAAAAAGGTGAAGTCCAATGTATCCTTGGTTTTAAGTGTCTTCATGACACAGGGAAAGACAGTAAAAATGACTTTCTGAGGATGTTAGAAAATGATCGAAACTATTAGATAACTAAAAAAGAAAATGCTGATAATCATAATGGATCTGTCCATTTTGTGTTCTAGGTGTGTTAGAAAAAATCATGAAATCCCAAAGTGTATACAAACCTGATTATTCAGCATTAGGTAATTATAGGACAGGGTGGGTGAATTGTGTTTACTTGAAGGCACAAAACTAATAGAATGTTAAGGGCAGAAAGTGTTACATAAAGAAGAGCTAAAGTTGCAGTTGCCAAAAAAATTAGAAAGTTCTAAAGCTTGGAATTGATGGTTTGTTATTTTTTTCAGTATGACAGAAATTATTTTCAGAAGCTTATTTTCATACCAACCATGTTTCCATTTTATGGACTTGACCTTTACTGGAATATCCCACAGGCAAAACTGGAGACAGTGGTTGTCTGTAATCATCAGGGATGCTCATGCTTCAAGTATTAAGAGTGCCTGTTTATCAATTGGTGTGTTACAACTCCAGAGACTACAGGGAGATCATTTCAACTAATGAGTATAGAAAGTCTTGATGCAGCATATCTTTCAAAGGCTGGTAATTTTCACTGTTGTTAATTTTAGTAAATTGGTTCAGTGAGCAATATCAATTATATGTATATATCATCTTATTTTCTACAGTCTATGACTTCAAAACTAATAGCTGTATTACTTGTAATTTAAATATTTTATCTTTTCTCCTGACCTCCTCCCCTTCAAAACCTTTATTATGCTAATGCTCTGAGTCTTGAGAAGGGGATCCAGGAATAAATGACCAATTCTTTTTTTCTTTTAATTTTATTTTACTTTAAGTTCTGGGATACGTGTGCAGAACGTGCGGGTTACATAGGTATACATGTGCCATGGTGGTTTGCTCCACCTATCAAACCGTCATCTAGGTTTTAAGCCCTGCATGGATTAGGTATTTGTCCTAATGCTCTCCCTCCCCTTGCCCTCCACCCACTAAGAGGCCCCGGTGTGTGATGTTCCCCTCCCATGTGTTTTCATTGTTCTACTCCCACTTATGGGTGAGAACAGGCGGTATTTGGTTTTCTGTTCCTACGTTAGTTTGCTGAGAATGATGGCTTCCAGCTTCATCCATGTCCTGCAAGGACATAAACACATTCTTTTTTATGGCTACATAGTATTTGATATGTATATGTGCCACATTTTCTTTATCCAGAAATGACCAATTCTTAAAGCAAATTTGAGAAACAACCATAATACAAGCATCAATATTAAGAGTTTGAGGGCCAGGCCTGTAATCCCAGCACTTTGGGAGGCTGAAGCGGGTGGGAGGCTGAGGTCAGGAGTTCAAGACCAGCCTGGCCAACATGGTGAAACCCCATCTCTACTAAAAATACAAAAATTAGCCAGGCATGGTGGTGCGCATCTGTAATCCCAGCTAGTCGGGAGGCTGAGGCAGGAGAATCACTTGAACATGGGAGGCAGAGGTTGCAGTGAGCCAAGATTGTGCCACTGCACTCCAGCCTGGACAACAAGAGCGAAACTTGGTCTCAAAAAAAAAAAAAAAAAAAGGAAAGGAAAGAAAGAGTTTGAGGAAAAAAAAAAAAAGACTACAGAGAAATTTATACCTTAAGCTGAGAAAAACATAAAACTGTTATTCATTGAAAGAATGACATAGACTTATAAGAAACTAATAACCAGTTTGGGGTATTTGCTGTTTCTTTTCCAATAAAATGAATGCTATTTTTTCAGTCTCCTTCTCTCTCTTGACTACAAATAAAATAAAATAAAAAATGGCAGTGGGAAATGTTCATGGAAGAACCAGAAGGTGGAAGTTTGTGTGTTGGGGGGGTGGTGTTTAGAAATGGAGATGTCACTATGTTGCCCTGGCTGGCCTTAAATTCCTAGGCTTTTGATAATGCTTAAATGACTATGTGTTATATCATAAAATTGGAGATAATTATTTTCAGAAAAAAAATATGTAACAGGATAAGATTCCCAGGAGATTGCTGTTTTATCTAGAACACATTTTCAATGGGACGTCAGATGAGTGGGTAACAGGGCATTGGGGCTACCACGGAGTTCCAATGTGCCTTATGGAGCTAGACCCTGAAGGTGGTAGAAAGGGGAGTAACAGAGATCTCTCATGTGCCTTTGAGGATACCTGGGCCACCTGGCAAGAAGCCAGGTATTACTATTGGATGGAAAATGTCCTGAGGCTAGAAACAGCCAGTCCAACATCTAAGTCTAAGGTATAAGCCTAATTCAGGACACAGAAGCTTCCATGATAAACACTCTTAAGTTGGAAAAGCAGGCAGTAAGGGTGAGGCCATGGCTACCATCAGCTGGTACAATCTACCTGCAGCCATGCCTGACTGTCCACTCACACAGGACACATCTTTGGAGGGATGTGGCCCTTAGGTTTACCAGGTAGGAGAAAATACTAGAAAAGCACAGCTCCCTGGAGTAGTGGAATGAATCTATCATCAATACCATTCCTACAGTTATTCTGCAATTAACATGGTACAGTAGGCAACAATTAGGAAAAAAAAAAAAACTCTTAAAAAGAGCTTTATATTTTACATGCTCCAGACCCCACAAAACTCTAATTTACCCTTGGGATTACCATTTATGAGGTGGAAGTAGCAAAAGAGTTTTTGGCGAGAGAAGGGAAGTATACAATTGGTTTCTTGATATGCCTGGCTTGAAGCACTATAGAATTTAGGCAAAGCAGTCCATTTGATAGCTAAATATAGTCTCACTAGTAGGACTGAAAATCAATTCTTCTGATAAGTTCTGTACACTGGGGTACACAACTTTTGAACCACATCATATGTCTTTCATTTAACAAAGACAAGTGTAGAAACATTACACTTGATCTAGGCAGTCTTGCAAAAGTTAGTTGACAATTTCCAAGCCCTCATTATTTCATTTTGTGTGTGTGTCTTTAAAAACACATAATGCAAACAGAGATATGAAGACTGGTCTCACACTAAAGGAATTTCCTTTACTGCCAATAACTTCAGAAATAAGGAAGGAAGTATTGACTATCTTCAAAGCAGGTTCTTTATGCCATTTTCGAGTTGTGGGGACGGATTTATGCTCCTCCAGCATGCTTTTTCCCTTGACTCTTTTATAAATGAAGGCAGGTGTTCACAAGGCAGTAGACTAGGGTAAGATGTGCCCTTTGGCCATGGAGTACAGCAAAGCTATCTGTACTATAAGGGGGTTGTCGCACCTGTGCCTTGATCCTTCTTTAGCAGAGGTTTAGGACCCGTCGGCATACACTCCACATAGCGGTGTTCTGTTCAGTCTGAGGCTAGAACAGGGAGGCCCTGACATTACTATTTTTATCATGGTTCCTTGGTAATAACCATAAAGAAAGTACAGAACCATTATCCTCAAGGTAAAAATTAATGCACAAGAGGTACATAGTAGAGATTAAATTCAAATGAAGGACTTCTGAAACCCTGTCAGCCAGGCCAATAATATAACTCATAGACCATTTCACCTCCATACAGTTACTTTACAGCACTTGGGTGTTTTCTGTATGCTCCATTAAAATCCTACTCTGGTGGGAAAAACCAGATTTCCAACTGGTGATTTTATGGATTCAATAAAATTTAAGAAATTCTGCTTATGGAAAACCTCATTACCCAAAACTAATAAATAAGAGTTTACCCTGCAGTCTGGTTCCTCTTTATTTGACAGAATTAAAAATCACTCTGGAACAACTTAGTTCATTTTTCACTTGTTAATTGAGCTTAATAGTTTAGTAACTCCCTTTCTGTTCTAAGCTTGTGAACTCTTCATTCTTTCCGGCAGCACTTGCATTCTCTCACTCTTAACTTTACAGAGCATACATTTACAAAGAAGTTTAATAGAAATAAAGAGCACAGGCGAAGGGGGAAGAAATAAGAACATTTTATTTGGGGTGAAGCAATGACTTAAGGCTCAGCCCAGTCTTTGGGGATGGGTATCAGGTTGCACTACACTGTTAGAAGGATATTTTGTCAAAGCCTCAGGTGCAATGTCCACGTGAGGGACAATTTTATTATTGAATACATGTCACAGCAGATTTCCACTTATGTTTGGCATTTATAGAAATTGCAAAGAGCCAAAGTTGTGCCTGGAATGGACAAAACCTTTCAATCAATTTCACCTTCTGGCACAAAGATTTATTCTTTGGAAGGCTATTAATGTACAAATGTTTGCTTGTTTGTGTTTCCTGCAACACTTATCATATGTCTTTTTTAAGTAGGAATTTATTAAAAGCAACTTTGAATATGATGGTGTGTTACAATCTTTAGAATAAAGTGCAAAACTCAAAAGACAATACCAAAGTTGGTCAAGATACTTCTGTCACTCTTCAGTTTTCCATCCAACTCCTGATACATACTCCAACCATACCCGTTCTAGTCAGGTAACTAATTCCACATCCATCCTAGATTGTCTGTACCAACCCTGCCCACTATACAGGAAACAATCAGCCAACTTTTATACCACATACATCTTAAAGACTAGTAGTTGAGGTATGAGTTAACCTGAGTTGTGGAGCCTTTGAAATATATCATGTGGCCTCATTTTATGTCACCCTATGGTGATGATGACGACTCCTCCTCCTCCTCCTGCTTCTCTTTCTGCTTCTGCTGCTTCTTTTTTCCATTTATCCATTGAAAAGATAATTAGGAAAAACAAGAAATTTTCAAGCAAGCAGGAACATTCAAACCAGTTCAATGTATACAGATACAAATATATGATTGTTCTGTCTTCAGATGCAAATTGAGTACAAAAAGAAAACCCAGCCTGGACTTCATTAGGTAGTGCCAAATTGTTTTCCAAAGTGGTTGTACCAACTTAGGCTTCTATCAGCAATGCGTAAGTATTCCCATTGTTCTACATTCTTTCCAGTGTAGGTCTCAAGTAATTCATAATTCTAAACATGCAAAATCCTCAAAATATGCTAATGCAGTTAATGCAGTAACTATTTTCATTTCTAAATTAAATTTTTGAAGTCAAGTCAAAGAGAAAATTGTTGAATTGGTCTGGGCTCAAAATCAGCTCACTTTTCTTCTCTATCCTCACATTCACAGTTGATCTTATTTAGGCCTGTGATTTGAACCAGCATTCAGTGACCTCCAAATTTATATCATCCGTTCAGACCTCTCTCTGCTTTTTACTCGATTGCTCATTCACTAACTCCTTTCATGAGTTTAACGTACATCTCAAACTTAACCTCCCTGTCTCTGTCTAACGGGACCACTTGACATCCACAAAAAAAAGCAGTCAACAACTATAAATGGCCAGACTGGTTCATATCTGTTCAAATAAAAACTCCTCATTAAATATATGAAGAATCAAATGCCTCGCCTTTAAAAAAAACTATTCACTTCTTGTCCCACCTCTTCTGAGAGGTTTTACTCTTCAACCATTTTTATCTGATTATCAAGTGGATCAAGTTTGGGGACTTTTTATTTGGATATTTTTCTCCCAGTTATGAAACTACTTACTATTTCAACATCTCGAATTTTCACTTAACTTTATAGTGTCAGACATCTGACTTGTTATTTCAAATTCTCCTAAAAATACAGCTATAAATGCCTGCATAATATTACATTGTATACAGAAACCATAATTTTTTTCATTTCTCTATTTTATAGCACATATTCCTAGATAGTTTATATTCTTTGAGTCTATTAATGATTTCTTTTTTCAGTGTATTTATGCAGATGGTTATTGCTGGTGCCTAGGAAAGTTATTAATTAAATGCATATATTTATCTTGTGCCAAGCCACATCATTAAACTTTTCTAAGAATTATAGCTAATTTCTACTAATAATAGTTATTCAGTTGGTTCTTTACTGTTTGCAGGGATGAACAAATGCTGTATAATAGAAATAATGTACAATAATAGAAATAAATTTTCTTCCCAAAATACGATTTTGTTTCACATTCAAGTATTAGTACTTCTGAAACAATATTAAGTGATAGTGATAACATTTTTTACTAATGGGACACTTACTATATAATAGACTCCATTATGATAGCTTAATAAAATGATATATTATTTCATAATTTCCTAGATTTTTTGCTAATTTTTTGAAAAAAATATTTTCAATATCCATAAACATCTGATTGGCTATTGGTTTGAGATGATAGTTTATCATGCAAAAGCAAGAATTTTGTATTTCTTTTTTTCAAATGAAGTTTTATTTTAAAACAGTTTTTACATTTATAGAAGAGTTGTAAGGATAGTCCACAGAGTTCCTGTATGTCCTTCCCCTGGTTTCCCCTAATTTGACAACTTAAATAACCATGGTTCATTCGTCAAAACTAAGAAATTGACATTGGCACATATTATCAAATAAGCTCTAGATTTATTCCAGCTTTCTACAGTTCTTTTACTAATAATTTCCTTTTTCTGCACCAGAATCCCATCCATGTTACTATATTACACTTAGTCATATGTCCCATTAGTTTCCTACGATAGTTTCTCAGTCTTTTCTTGTTTTTAATGACTTTGACAACTTTGAAGAGTACTGGTCATGTATTTTGTAAAATACCCCTCAATTTTAGATTGTCTATTTTCCTCATGGTTAGATTGGGGTTATGGGCTTGGGAGAAGAATGTTACAGAGAAGTGCCCTTCTCATCACATCATGTAAGTGAGTATGATAGCAACCCTAATTGTCAGTGGTGCTAACTTTGATTAAGGTAGTGTGTGCCAGGCTTCCCCACTGCAAAATTACTATTTTTCTCCTTTCCACACTCCATTCACTACGCCAGTTACACTCTCTCCTCCAGGAGGAGAGGGGAATTAAGCTCCACTTCCAGGAGGAGAGAGTGTCTATATATTATATTTAGAATTCTTCCATAAGGAAGATTTGCCCCATCTCCTCCATTTACTGATTTACTCATACGTTGATTTATATTAGTATGGGCTCAGAGATATTTATTTTATACTTTGGGTCCAATGCTACATTATTTACTTTGTTGCTCAAATTAATCCTGCTTTGGACAGTTGGCCCTCTCAATTGACTCCTACATCCCTTTGACATGCCCCATTTTTTGTTTTGCTCCATTTGTTTCTTTTAGCACTTCACTTCTTTTTGGCACTGTAAGAAGCTCCAGGCTCACCTGGTCCTTTACCTGCTGCAGTCCTAGAAACAGCCACTTCTCCAAGGAGCCTTAGTTTCTTTTATTCGAGAATAATATGTAGAAACCAAAATTTGGGCATTGGGTGTTGTATTCCTTTTTGCATGTTATTACTATTTGTGTTTTGGTTTACTTTTTAAAAATAATTGTGGTAATATACACACACTAAGCAAAAAACATGTCATCTTAACCATTTTTTTTTTTTTTTTTGAGATGGAGTTTTGCTCCTGTTGCCCAGGCTGGAGTGCAGTGGTACAATCTCGGCTCACTGCAACCTTCACCTTCCAGGTTCAAGCAATTCTCCTGCCTCAGCCTCTCCAGTAGCTGGGATTACAGGCGCCTGCTGCCACGCCCAGCTAATTTTTGTATTTTTGGTAGAGAGGGGGTTTCACCATGTTGGCCAGGCTGGTCTCAAACTCCTGACCTCAGGTGATCCACCTGCTTTGGCCTCCCAAAGTGCTGGGATTACAGGTGTGAGCCACCGCGCCTGACCATCTTACCCATTTTTCAGTATGCAGCTTAGTGACATATATTCACATTCTTGTATAACTAGCTCTATTATCCATCTCCAGAATGGTTTTTATCTTGCAAAATGAAACACTGTACTCATTAAACTATAACTCCCTATTACTTACTCCCTCAATCCCTGGCAACTACCATTCTACTTTTTTTGTTTTTGTGTTTGAGACGGAGTCTTGCTCTGTCACCCAGGCTGCAGGCTGGAGTGTAGTGGTGCAATCTCGGCTCACTGCAACTTCCGCCACCCGGGTTCATGCGTTTCTCCTGCCTCAGCCTCCCAAGTAGCTGGGACTACAGGCACGTGCCAGCACACCCAGCTAATTTTTGTATTTTTAGTAGAGACAGGGTTTCACTGTGTTAGCCAGGATGGTCTCAATCTCCTGACCTTGTGATCCACCCACCTGGGCATCCCAAAGTGCTGGGATTACAGGTGTGAGCTACCATGCCCAGCTTCTACTTTCTACCTGTACAAATTTGACTAGGTACTTCATACAAATGGAGTCATATGGTATTTGTCCTTTTCTGACTGGCTTATTTTACTCAGCATAATATCCTCAAGATTCTTCTGTGTTGTAGCATGTACCAGAAAGAATTCCCTTCCTTTTTGAGGCTGAATAATTTTCCATTGTATGTATATGCTAGTTTGTTTGTCCATTCATCTGTTGGACATTCATCTGCAGGTTGTTTTCAGGCCTTGGCTATTATGAATGCTGTTATGAACATGAATGTACAAATATTCTTTCAAGTTTCTACTTCCATTTTTTGGGGGTATATACCTACTAATAAAATTGCTGAATCGTATGGTAAATTCTTTTAACGTTTGGAGAAACTTTCATACTGTTGTCCACAGTAGCTCTATCATTTCACATCCACATGAACAGGGCCCAAAGATTCCATTTTCTCCATAATCTCACCAACGCTTGCTATTTCCTGGCTTTGTTTTGTTTTTGTGTTTATAGTAGCTATCCTAATGCATGCAAGGTGGTATTTCCTTGTGGTTTTGATTTGCATTTCCTTAATGATTAGTGATATGGCACATCTTTTCATTGGCCATTTGTATATCTTCTTTGGAGAAATGTCCATTTAAGCTCTTTGCCCATTTTTTTCATTGAGTTGTTTGTTTTGTTGTTGTTGCGTTGTACTAGTTCTTTATATAATTCAGATTAATGCCTTATCAGACATATGATTCACAGATATTTTCTCCCATTCCATAGGTTGCCTTTCCATGTTGCTGATTATGCTCTTTGATGCACAGAAAATCTTAATGTTGGTATCATCCAGTTTATCTATTTTTTCTTTGGTTGCTTATGCTTTTGGTACCATATCCAAGAAATCATTGCCAAAGCCAATGTTATAAAGTGTGTTTTACTTTTAATGAATGTTTTTCTATTTCAAGAGACCTAGATAGAAAATAGTTTCTACTGGCAAATAATGGAAGATAAAGGTGGAGTCAAGACAGGTTAGGACTACTGTGTAAGAAGCACTTAATTATAAGATAAAGAATTTTGGAGTTGATCAAATATGCATGGAAGAGTCAATGAAGGTTTTTGAGTAGGTAAGCACCTGACTAAAATCAGTGTTTCAAGACGAACAAAAAACGGTGAGTGAATCCTGCACCTTCAGCTGAGGTATCCAGGTGTTCTCATTGGGACTAACTATGGGGTTGGCACAACCCACAGAGAGCAAGAAGAAACAGAGTGGACTGACGGCCCACCCAGGAGCCTCACAGGGCAAAGAGAGCTCCCACCCCAGCCAAGGGATGTGGTGAGTGGTTATGCTACCCTGCCTGGGAAGCCATGCTTTTTCCATGGATCTGTGCAACCCACAGATCAGGAGATCCCCTCATGAGCCCATGCCACCAGGGCCTTGGGTCCCAAGCACAGAGCCATGCAGATGCTCGGTGGTCACTCAGGTTTCAGCCAGCGGTAGCAGGCTGGAGACTGCCTAAGGCAACCAAATTTCCAGAGGGAGGGGCAGCTGCCATCACTGCAGCTCCAGTCTTCCATTTTCCCCTGCCAGTATTGGGGAGACTGGGTGGTTTGGACTGGGAAGAATTCCCCACTGCACAGCACAGTAGCTATGGCAGATTGTGGCCAGACTACTTATTTAGGTGGGACCTGGATCCATTCCTCCTCACCAGGCAGGGCCTCCCTGTGGGAATTTCAGCAACTCCAGCCAGGGGTTTATGAACAGAACGCTGATATCCCTGAGAGGAAGCCCCTGGGGTGGAAGGGGTGGCTGCAGTCTCCACGGTTCAGCAGACTTAGTCTTTCCTGCCTGCTGGCTCTGAGGAGTCCAGACAGTCCAGATGAGGGGCATTTCCCCCAGTGCAGCACACTTATTTTGCCAAGAGGCAGTCAGAGTGCTTCATTAAGTGGGTTCCTGATCCTGTGCCTTCTGACTGGGTAAGACCTCCTAACAGGGGTCACCAGACACCATATACTGTAGAGTTCTGGCCGGCATCAGGTTGGTGCCCCTCTGAGGTAGAGCTCTCAGAGAAAGGAACAGAAAGCCATCTTTGCCATTCTGCAGCCTCCACTGGTGACACTTCCAGGTGTGGGAGGGACCCAGGTGAATGGGTTCTGGAGTGGACCCCCAGCAAACTGCAGCAGTCCTATGGGCAGAGGGCCCTGACTGTTAAACAAAAAAGCAAACAAACAAATAGAAAGCAACAGCAATATCAACAAAAACTACCCCACAAAAACCATGTCCTAGGGTCAGCAGCCCCAAAGATCAAAGGTAAATAAGTTCACCAAGATGAGGACGAATCAATGCAAAAGTGCTAAAAACCGAAAAAGCCAGAGTGCCTCTTCTCCTCCAAATGATTGCAACACCTCTTCAGCAAGAGCACAGAACTGGGCTGAGATGAGATGGATGAACTGACAGAGAAGTAGGCTTCAGAAGGTGGGTAATAACAAACTTCACTGAGCTAAAGGAGTATGCTCTAACCCAATGCAAAGAAACTAAGAACCATGATAAAACATTACAGGAGATGTTAACCAGAATAACCAGTTTAGAGAGAAACATAAATGACCTGATGAAGCTGAAAAACACAACATGAGAACTTCACAATGAAACCACAAGTATCAATAGCTAAACAGACCAGGCAGAGGAATCTCAGAGCCTGAAGACTAGCTTGCTGAAACAAGACAGGCAGACCAGATTAGAGAAAAAAGAATAAAAAGGCACCAAAAAAACCCTCCAAGAACTATGGGATTATGTAAAAAAGATCAAACCTACAACTGATTGGGTTACCTGAAAGAAATGAGGAGAATGGAACCAGGTTGGAAAATATACTTCAGGATATCATCCAGAACTTCCCCAACCTAGCAAGGTAGGCCAACATTCAAATTCAGGAAATCCAGAGAACCCCAGTAAGATACTCCAGGAGAAGATCAGCCCCAATACATCTAATTGTCAGATTCTTCAAGGTCAAAATGAAAGAAAAAAAGTTAAGGGCAGCCAGAGAGAAAGGCCAGGTCACATATAGAGGGAAGCCTGTCAGACTAACAGCAGACTTCTCAACAGAAACCCTACAAACCAGGAGAGATTGGGGGTCAATATTCAACATTCTTAAATAAAATAATTTCCAACCCAGAACTTCACATCTGGATGAACTAAGCTTCATAAGCAAAGGAGAAATAAAATCCTTTTCAGACAAGCAAATGCCAAGGGAATTCATGACCACCAGGTGTGCATTGCAAGATTTCCTGAAGGAAGCACTATATATGGAAAGGAAAAACTGTTACCAGACACTACAAAAACACACTGAAGTACACAGACCAATGATACTATGAAGCAACTACATTAACAAGTCTGCAAAATAACCAGCTAGCATCATGATGACAGGATCAAATTTACACATAACACCAACATTAAATGCCCCAATTAAAAGGCACAGAATGGCAACTGGATAAAGAGTCAAGACCCATTGGTGTGCTGTATTCAAGAGACCCATCTCATGCGCAAACACACAACTAGACTCAAAACAAAGGGATGGAGGAAAACTTACCAAGCAAATCAAAAGCAGAAAAAAAGCAGGGATTGCAATCCTAGTTTCTGACAAACAGACTTTAAGCCAAAAGAGATCAAAAAAGACAAAGAAGGGCATTACATAATGGTAAAGGGTTCAATTCAACAAGAAAAGTTAACTATCCTAAATATATATGCATCCAATACAGGAGCACCCAGATTCATAAAACAAGTTCTTAGAGGCCTACAAAGAGAATTAGACTCCCATAAAATAATAGTGGGAGACTATAACACCCCATGGTCAATATTAGATTGATCATCGAAACAGAAAATTCACAAAGATATTCAGGTCTTGAACGCAGCTCTGGATCAAGTGGGCCAGATAGATATCTACTGAACTTTCCACCCAAAAGCAACAGAATATACATTCTTCTCAGCACCACATGGCACTTACTCTAAAATCAATCACATAATTTGAAGTAAAACACTCCTCAGGAAATACAAGGAAACTGAAATTATAACAAACAGTCTCTCAGACCACAGCACAATCAAATTAGAACTCAAGAGTAAGAAACTCACTCAAAACCACACATGGAAATTGAACAATCTGCTCCTGAATGATTCCTGGGTAAATAATAAAATTAAGGCAGAAATCAAGAAGTTCTCTGAAACTAATGAGAACAAAGAGACAACATACCAGAATCTCTGGGACACAGCTAAAATAGTGTTAAGAGGAATATTTATAGCTCTAAATCCCCACATCAAAAAGGAAGAAAGATCTCAAATTGACATTCTAACATCACAATTCAAAGAATTAGAGAAGTAAGAACAAACAAATTCAAAAGCTAGCAGAAGACAAGAAATAACCAAGGTCAGAGTAGAACTGAAGGAGATAGAGACCAAAAAAAACTCTTCAAAAAAATCAGTGAATCTAGGAGCTGATTTTCTGACCAAATTAATAAAATAGACCACTAGCTAAACTAATAAAGATAACAGAGAGAAGAATCAAATAGGCAAAATAAAAAATGATAAAGGGATATCACCACTGACCTCACAGAAATACAAACAACCATCAGAAAATACCATAAACACCTCAATGCAAAAACAAAAACAAAAACAAGAAAAAAAAAACTAGAAAACCTAGAAGAAATAGATAAATTCCTGGAAACATACACCCTCCCAAGACTGAAGCAGAAAGAAGTTGAATCCCTGAACAGACCAATTATGAGTTCTGAAATTGAGGCAATAATAAATAGCTTCCCAACCAAAAAAAAGCCGAGGACCAGACGATTCACAGAGGAATTATACCAGTGGTACAAAGAGGAGTGGTACCATTTCTTCTGGAACTAGTCCAAACCATTGAAAAGGAGGGACTTTTCCTTAACTCATTTTATGAGGCCAGCATCATCCTCATACCAAAACCTGGCAGAGATACAACAACAACAAAAAAAGAAAACTTCATACCAATATCCCTGGTGAAAATTAATGCAAAAATCCTCAATAAAATATTGGCAAACCGAATCCAGCAGCACATCAAAAAGCTTATCTAACCATGATCATCAAGTCAGCTTCATCCCTGGGGTTCAAGGCTGGTTCAACATATGCAAATCGGTAAACATAATTCATCACATAAACAGAACTAAAGAAAAAAATCACACGATTATCTCAATAGATGCAGAAAAGGCTTTTGATAAAATTTAACATCCCTTCAAGTTAAAAACTCTCAATAAACTACAGATCAAAGGAACATATCTCAAAATAATAACAGCCATTTATGATAAACCACAACCAATATTATACTGAATGGGAAAAAGCTAGAAGCAGTCCCCTTGAAAACTGGCACAAGGCAAAAATGCCCTCTCTCACCACTCCTATTCAACATATTATTGGAAGTTCTGGCCAGGGCAATCAGGCAAAGAAAGAAATAAAGCATATTCAAATAAGAAGAGAGGGAGTCAAATTGTCTCTGTTTGTAGATGACACATCCCTATATCCCTATATTTAGAAAACCCCTTCTTCTCAGCCCAGAAGCTTCTTAAGCTGATAAGCAACCTCATCAAAGTCTCAGAATACAAAATCAATGTGCAAAAATCACAAGCAATCCTATACACCAACAACAGGCAAGCAGAGAGACGAATCAGGAGTGAACTCACTTCACAATTGCCACAAAGAGAATAAAATACATAGGAATACAGCTAACGAGGGAAGTAAGGGACCTCTTCAAGGAGAACTATAAACCACTGCTCAAGGAAGTCAGAGAGGACACAAACAAATGGAGAAACATTCCATGTTCATGGATGGGAAGAATCAATATCATGAAATGGCCATACTGCCCAAAATAATTTATAGATTCAATGCTATTCCCATTAAACTACCATTGTCATTCTTCACAGAATTAGAAAAAAACTACTTTAAAATTCATATGAACCCAAAAGGAGCCCATATAGCCAAGACAATCCTAAGCAAAAAGAACAAAGCTTGAGGCATAACTCAACCCAACTTCAAACTATACTACAAGGCTATAGTAACCAAAACAGCATGGTACTGATACAAAAACAGACACATAGACCAATAGAACAGAATAGAGAACTCAGAAACAAGACCACACATCTACAACAATCTGTTCTTTGACAAACCTGACAAAAACAAACCATGGGGAAAGGATTTCCTACTTAATAAATGGTGCTGGGAGAACTGGCTATCTACATGCAGAAAATTAAAAGTGGAAACCTTTTTTACACCTTTTTCGAAAATTAAGTTAAGATGGATTAAAAACTTAAATGTAAAACCCAAAACTATGAAAACCCTAGATGAAAATCTAGGCAATACCATTCAGGACATAGTCATGGGAAAAGATTTTATGATGAAATCACCAAAAGCAATTACAACAAAAGCTAAAATTGACAAATGATATCGAATTAAACTAAAGAGCTTCTGCACAGCAAAAGAAACTGTCATCAGAGTGAACAGACCCCTACAGAATGAAATAAAATTTTTTCAATCTATCCATCTAACAAAGTTCTAATATCCAGAATCTATTATACAAAGGACTTAAACAAATTTACAAGAAAAAAAAACAAGCAATCCTATTAACAAGTAGGCAGAGGATATGAACAGGCACTTCTCAAAAGAAGACATTTAAGCAGCCAACAAACATATGAAAGAAAGCTCAACATTACTGATCATTAGAGAAATGCCAATCAAAACCACAATGAGATACCATCTCATGCCTGCCAAAATGGTGATTATTAAAAAGACAAGAAACAACAGATGCTGGCGAGGCTGCAGAGAAATAGGAACGCTTTTACACCTTGGTGGGAATGTAAATTACTTCAACGACTGTGGAAGACAATGTGGCAATTCCTCAAACCAGAATACTATTTGACCCAGCAATCCCATTATCGGTTATATACCCAAAGGAATATAAATTATTCTATTATAAAGATACACACATGCGTATGTTCATTGCAGCACTATTCACAATAGCAAAGACATGAAATCTATCAAATGCCCATCAATCGTAGACTGGGTAAAGAAAATGTGGTATATATACACTATGGAATACTATGCAGCCATAAAAGGAATGAGGTCATGTCCTTTGCCGGGACATGGATGGAGCTGGAAGCCATTATCCTCAGCAAACGAAGGCAGGCACAGAAAACCAAACAATGCGTGTTCTCACTTATAAATGGGAGGTGAACAATGTGAACAGATGGACATGAGGAGGGGAATAACACACACTGGGGCCCATCAGTAGGGTGAGGTGAGGGAGAGCCTCAAGAAAAATAGCTAAAAATAGGTGGTGGGTTGGTAGGTGCAGCAAATCACCATGGCACACATTTACCTATGTAACAAACATGCACATCCTGCACGTGTACCCTGGATCTTAAAATTTTTTTAAAAATCAGTGTTTCAAGAAGATAAATCTGGAAGTTGTGTGCAGAATTCTTTTTTCCAGAAAGAAAAGAACAGAGATGAAAATACCAGTTATAGTGAAAGCTACTGCAAAAATCCAGGAAGTATATGATAAGAATGCCTATTAGAATATTTAAGTATTCTCTATAAGAATACTTTACATATTAAGAAAATGCAAAAATGAATTTAGAATAAAAATAAACTGAGATGGCCATGGGTACAAATAGGCTAAAAATAAACACAGAATATTTCTCAACACTTCTCTGTGGCATCAGTGAGCCCTTTGAATGAAAGGCTGAACTTAGCCTGGACAAGCAATTGTATTGAACAGTGTCATCTGAGACAACTAAGATAAATATTTATTTTAATGCCTTTAAATGAAAAAAAATTATTTTACTCCTTCTAGAAGTGAATAATATACTCACTCCCTCATAATAGTTGCTCCTTAGCTTTACCTGCATTTGAAATAGCAGGAGTTTGGGGTTCATTAATTAAATCTATGGCAACTACTTTCAGTAAAATCGCCATTAAACAATCACTAGTGGTAATTAACACAACTTTTAAAATAATTGGTAAGAGAAAAAGCTGAGAGCTTAGTAAAGCATGTTGGGGGGTGAACAAACTTTTTGACACCATATTCCTTTTCTTTGATAAACTCAGTGAGGATGAAAAAGCTTTTCAAATTGGCTGATTTAACAACCTCTGTCCCACTAGAGAAAAATCTTTTCAGTCTGATGAGGCTGAAGCAATCTAAATGGAAATATTGGTTCCCACAGATTTCTATAGGCTTTGATGATAAAACCTTCTGCCTGGTATATTTCCTTTTGATCTAGCTGAAAAAGGACGCTGGGAGAGGCTAGGACCAGGCTCCTTCAATGACCAGCTGCTGATACAGCTGTGGCTTGTTAAGGCCACAGGACAAGGAACAGTTCCAACATGCTCCCTGTTTTATCACATTCTTAACATTATATTACTAAGAAAATTGATATCCACACAGATGCAGAATTATGGCGTGTTCTGAAGGCCAAATGAATTGTAAAAATGATGAACCAGCTACATATTTCAAGAAATTATTAAGATGTAAATGCTTATCAATAAAACTTTTCTTCCAACTTAAGAGATCTGAAAACAGAGATCTGCTTTTAGATAGTTTCCTTGTCTATGACTGATGGGGAGAGAGTTTAAATTCTCTGGAGAAACACACTTTCTGGTCTCAAGTAACCAGACGGATTTGCATCCTGGATCTAACCTCAGAGGCTTAAGGAGTGCTACAGAAGGCCTCCAGCTGATATGGGGATCTTAGCTATGACTCTCGCTGCTTTCCATTAAGGAAATGAGAAACAACTCATTTTTACAAGGTGCTAACTAAGCTTGGCTGAGCAGCCCAACTGAAAAATCAAACATGCCCAAACACTTCATGTTTATAAAAACAAACTCCATTAACATGCCTGGCTTCCCTTTTCATAAAATTGAAGATGATTTATTACATATCTTAGAGCAGTCCAATTTTCCTATAAAATGCATGTTCTGTATTATGTTTGGCACATTTTAGACGATCAATGTGTAATTGTTCAATTGAATTACAATGGATTTGTTTTCCATGAAAATGATAATGGAGAATTTTACAGAACTTGTGATGACCCAATGGCATAAAATAGAGGGCTTATACAAGCTATAAGAACTGGTATGCACTCCAGAAAGGAAGTTAAACTTTTTTTTTTAATGCCACAGTGTTCACCCTTCCAAAGTCAGCCTTAAAAGGAAGAAGTCCAAATTCTCTAACAACTTACTCCACTGAGTTGGGCCTCATTACAAGTCTCTTTAGTGTAATGCATGCATCTACAATCCCATATTAACCTTATTATTTAAATTATTGTAGTAAACCCAATCCTAGGACTTTTCTAAATTTCCAGTATAATCTCTACTATTTTTCATTATTCACTTAAAAAAAAGGAGATTCAATAAGAAGGAAAGGATATAAAACAATCATCTCTGTACCTACTCACTGAAATATAATATGCAGAATTGAAACCCTCTGTTTACCCATCCCTGATCCAATTACTTGCCCTTGATCCTCAGAAGTAACAACTTACTCTGATTTATCCAACTCTTAACCGAAATTTTCTCACCCACCTGTGGCCTAGGAACAAGGAAGAATAACAGAGTCATAGTGAAAATTAGTTTTAGTTTTAATTTTTGCAAAGCACAGACTTAGCAGGGTTACGATGATTTCATGTGTTTTTCAGAAGACACTGGTTCTCTTAACCCTATTGTGGAGATATGCTTACTACTCTTACTGAAATGTTGGCCAAGAAGACACAGACATTGTAGCGGTCTCAAAACCCATGCTTCTCTCATTACACTACGCAACCTAGTCCCCTCTCTTGCACAAGAGGTCTCTAGTGTTCTCTATGCACAGCCAAGTGCAGTTTTCTGCCCTTCTCTAATGCCATGTCTGTGTCCTAAAGAGGAGAGCAAATTTGAAGCTTCATAACAATGACATTCACAACTTCCAGTCACTTCTTTAGAGCTCTGGTCTGTTCCAGAGCAGGGTGTGCACACCCAAGGCAGGAGCAAATTGAGCCATTAGGTGATGGACAAATGGCATTTTAATTCTTATTTAAACGTAGTTTGATCTAAAGCAAAGAAGAAATTGAATATTAATACAAATAGTAGTAGTATATATACAATTCATGAATAAATATACATATATTGAGGGTGCATGCTCAAAAGTTTTTCTTGTAATTTTTAACTGATAAAAGAGAGTAATCAAATATATTTGGAGAGCACAGATCCAAATAATTCATGTTTACTATCTGTGTTACCTGAGGAAAAATAGTTTCAAGACATGTTGTGTGATTTTAATCACATGCAGGTAATACTGATGTAGTTTTATATACATATACATACCAGATTAAAATAAATTATTTACCTCTGTTCCCATAGAAAATGATACAGTTCCTAGAACTTTTAGTTTAGCTGAGTACATATAACTAAATATTCGCTATTCATCAGCTGCACACTCTAGGTCTATTTTGAAAGACATTTTTATTTTATAATACACTTTTAGCTCTAAAAGGTTTTTAATTTGTTTTGTTTGAGAACCAGAGTTTAAAATGTCCAGAAGAGTTTTTCAGTTGAGGATAGTTAAAATTAAAATTGTAAATAGTTACTTATTACTCCAATATTTATTGAGCATCTACTATGATACAGTAATGATACAAAGGTTAAAAAATAAATATTTCGTATTTGCTTTTTTTCAAGTGCTAAGAATAAGTAATGAGCAAAAGATCGTTGGTGGTCCCTATCTTCAAGGAATTTACTAAGAAATATAAAAGTTGAAATAAATTAGAGAAAATCTTTTAAGCAAAGTATGAACAAAGTCATGTAGACTGTGTCTCTTCCATGTCCACCCTACTCTGCTCCTACTTTCAGATTTCCTCTTCTATGAGCACTGCTCAAAACAAACAAATAAACAAAAACCAAACAGATCCCTAGACTTGCTCGTCATTTCCCATATCTCAGGATCACTCAATATTCTCATTCTCCTGACCTTCACCTCCCGTGTCAACTTCTTTATTTTACCTGACCAACTTTATTTGGGTGATATTGAGTTTAATTTGATTGACTAATCCTGGCTCTTCTGAAATTCCTCCCTGGATCCACAGACAGTCCTGAAAAAGGGAGGCCAAGAGCAGGACTTAGGAACCCCAGAGCAGGCTAAAGAGGAAGAATTTTTACGAGGTAGGCTTTTGAAGGTGGCATAAATTATTTCACATAGACCAGCTAACTCGGTCAGTTGCATTTGGGAAAGCTTGTGAGTCCCTCTGCTATTGGACATTTTCTTTCATTTTAATGATCCTTAAATTGTTCAAAGTAATTATCATTTTAAATTCATATATTAGGGTCTCTTTAATTGGGAGCCTTTTATAGGGCCACAGCAACTTCCTTTGGATGTATTAAGCTTGCTGTCTTCCCCCACAGCACAAGGCTCTATACAAAGCAAGCACTTATTCTTCCTAGAAACATTTATTGGATACTGCCTCGAACAAGGCACGGTGATAGTGATGTGGAGGACACAAAGATGTACGCACAAAGCAATAACATGCCATTTTGACCAAGAAAATGAGGATTATGTTATCTCCCTCTTACAAACACATGGAAATGTTGTGAGTATTTGGTATCTTAAAAATAAATTTTGGACATTGCTTTCAGCTGCACATCTTGCAGCACTGACAAATATATAGTGTCAATATAATACTATTATGTTTCCATTCCCACATCATCAGTCACAGGCTTATCTGTTTTACATAGTCACAGTTTCAAAGCATTTGGGAGACTTTATGGTGGGTAATGATTTAGGAAGAGATGAGAATAGTTGCACGTTTTGTAAAGAGTTGTGAGTGTATTTACTGGGAATGATGATGATGATCATGATGATAATGATAAGGTCCCCAGCTGTCTGTTGAAGTCCCTTTCTGGGAAACAGCTGGAAACTCATTCTCTAAAGATCGCATCTGGCTTGATTTGCCAGCACTCAAATCCCATTGATCTGGTTCTGTTCTAGCCCTCTGTACTCACAGTTCAAAGAGCAGGGAGGCCTGTAAAGAAATTACTGCCATATTGTTCAATCAGCCACAGTGAGCCATATATACGATTATAATTAGGAACACATTAAGGGAAGCAGCTCAGTGGAGATAAGCTGCCTGACTGCATACGCTTTTTGATGAGGGCTTAGCGCCAATACGAAAAGAAAAAGATTAAATGTTTGTTACCAATCCTTTTGAACTTGTGGCAGAACATGTGGTAAAGTATTTTTGATTCAAATTAAAAGCATCCTAGGATAAAAATAACCCTGTTCTCCCAGGCCATTCCAAGTGAAACCATTTGGAGACTGATTTATTGTATCGCCCTTAACCTCTTTCCACCAGCATGATTAACGTAAGCATTTCTGAATCCCTTATAAGCCTGGACAGGTATTTGTCTTGTTACACATCTGTGGAACAAATGGCAATACAAATTATACACTCAACAGATGTAAGTTTTCAAAGGCCAGGCAAATTTAATTTGACTGTGCATGTAAATGAAAAGTTCATTGAGCTCCAAGGTCAGTGATGTGGGTTGCAGGTAAAGAGGATTGTTGCATCAAACATCACCAAAAGGCCAGGGATTCAGAAACCCTCAAAGGGAGCTTCCTAAGCCAAGCAAAGAAAATATAAGCTGCTGCTGCACCACCAAGGAGACAAGCATAGAGAAGGCTGCAAAAGAAAGGGACAGCTTGACCACTACCATCTCGAAAGCCTTTATACAGTCACTGGAAAGAAAAAAAAAGGCAAGATGACCATACCAAATATTTTAAGCTTCCATGACAAGAGGAAGCATGGTTTAGTGGTTTCTTCTGGAAATGGAGAATAGAAAGTTTGTTCCAGATTTAGTCTCTTCCTTCCTCTGTGGCCTTTGGCAAGACTCTTAGCCTCTCTGTGCCTGTTTAACTGTAAAATTGGGATATTAGTGTTTCCCACTTCACAGGTTTCTAAGGTTTAGTATCTTTCTACAGTGATGTTGACCTGTTTAAAATAATACTACATATTATACATTTCATGAGTCCAGAAAATTTGTAACCACATGAACTTATCTGCCAAAGGAATAATTTAGTTTAAGTTGTTTTTAATTATATCATGTGTTCTTAAAATTTCTGTGAACAGTGAAATTTATTTATTTAGTGGTCCTAAATGCTAATTTAAGAAAACCTCAATTATAATATTTTCTCACAGTGTCTCAGTTTTTCCCCAAGACACACCCACATACACATACACATACACACACACACACACACACACACACACACTTTCCTCATTTCCTCTTCCCATTCTAAATTTTGAGGTGTTTTGGCCTCTCTATAATTTCTCCCTTAGTAAAGTAGATATTGTCAATAGTAGTAACACTAAGCTTCTGAAAGCAATAAAACTAAATAATTAATACCACAAGGAAACACATAATGTCAGAACATAGTTGGTTAAACCAAGGGATAAGACTCTAATATGGTAAAGTGTCTTGTGAATTTCTAAGAGAGGGAAAACTTGCCTAATAACAGTTTTGTACCCCTTTACCACTGAATTCCCTCAGGTCTAGTGTTCTGAAGAAAACAATCTGGGAAAAACAATTTGGGAATAACCTAAAGTGTTTTGATACACCTGTGTTCTTTGAGCAAGACGAGTAAAAGTGAGGCCTTTTAAACAACAAGGAAATTATTTCCAAATGCAAATGTGCTTGATTGAGAATGCATATTTGCCTTTAGAAAGAAGATGAAGGCAAAGGGGATAGGTAGAGTACTCTTTTCTTCTCTTGCTCCCACCGGGAAGAATATGCTGCTATTACTTTTTTTGTTTTGTTTGTGTGCTTTGATTCTTTCCTGTAGAAATAACAAGAATAAAAGTATTTGGTGTAACCTAACTTTCTCTATTGTAAGTCTGTGCTAATTACCAGAAGGTCAAACAAATTGAACCTGTAGTTTATGACAGTTTTATAAATAAACATTTTATGTGTAATTGATCCCTAGTGTTCTTTGAAATGCCAATTAGGAAACTCTTGCTGCTTTATAGCCATTAGTCAGGGAAAGATGGACTGATGACTTCACAGTGGTGTGAGAATAGCTCACTGCCTTACTCCTAAAAGGCAAAGTTAAAAAGGGGCAAGGGACATCTTTCAGGTAAAAGAGGTGTATATGAAAATGAAAATCCAAGAACAACTGTCACAGCTGATAGCTAGGTAGCCACAGCACCCTTCTTGTAAGTGTCTTTGCACTGATTGCTTTGGGGGCCTGCCTTCTCCATTAAACCTTGGAGGTCAGAGATGACATCTTATTCATTTCCTTTTTCCTGGAATGTTCTGTGATGCTTAAATCAGATTAGGCACCTGTCATGCATTTACAGAATTAAACTGACAGCAAGTGATTTGGAACAACAGTACTTATAAAAATATACTCACTAACACTTAGATACTGAAGTTGAGTCTTACATTCAAAGTAAAATAGAGAAACACCGTATTTACCTAGGTATTTCTGGCCAGATTATACAGCTCATTTGTGGCAGAAAAAGATGACAAAAAGTATAAATATCTTAGAACATTTGTATTGTTCAAATGCAATGTTTATCTACACAATTTATTTTTTGAATCAATGTGGGGAACTTTACTAATATCCTGGGTAAATGTCACTACTTGGTTATAATCTGTTGAGGTGGTTTTGTATTCTTGGTTCTTCTGTCGTGAAAGTAATCCTCAGTGCTCTGGGTCATCTGGAATAACCGGGAATAACCCTGCCCTCAATGTTCTCATCCAAAACTTTGATAAAGTATTACATTCATGGCCAATGAAAGAATTCAGTGGTGCAAAAATTCAGAATTTCATTTAACTAATCAACAATCTTGGAATGTCGGTTTTCAGTCTCCAGCTATGTTCTCATCCAGCCTGGCTTTCTTTAATATACACAAGGATATACCAAGATCTTGTCAAATACTTGGCTGACAAAGATATATTTTGATTCTACTGTAATTGTAAGTCTACCGTTACTATGGTATCTGTCCCAAAGCTGACACTTACCTATTGCATAATAGAGCTAAAACAATCATGAAGATTGGCATGGTTAAGATTCTTATGAACAGAAAGATCAGTGCATGCCAGATAGGGTTCACACTGGACTACATACCTTCATAGACTTGTCTTCGCTGACATTAATACATTCACTGCCATTAAGCTTATATTTATTAAACATATGGCCAGTAACTTAGCTTCCTCAGTCTTCCTTGCCTTTGAGCTGTTGGGATGTGAATCGTATACTTAATATGCTTGTTTTGTAATGCCTTCGTTTTCCTCTGAAATGTCAAGTAAATTCCATAAAATACCTTTAGTTTATGGCTTTTGGATTTTTAAGCATAGCCCTTTGAAGTTATAGACAGATCATGGTGCCAGAGTGAATTAATTGGAACATTTCCCATAAGCTTTAAGAATATTTTAAAAACTAGAAAATTAAGTGAGAGAATCCCAGTATGTATGAGAATTTAATAAAGACAAAAATAGTAATTTATATATGTATATACACATATATTTAATCACATATTATATAAAATAACATGAATGTATGTATTTAAAAGAATTATAAAATGAAATTTATAAAAAAGGGACTAAGCATAGATACTATGTGAACAAGTCAAAATACCATTTCTAACAAATTGAAACTGTTAAACTAAATTAATTAAATAATTTCTGACACTGTCATGTCAGCTCTTACTATCACAATGTTTCAAAATTACAAAGTGCTTTCCCATTAGTTATCTCACATGAAACTCAAACCATGCCTATGATTAAACATAAGGATGAAAAACAAATATCAAGAATCACTGTCATATGCAACTTGCATCCAATTTTGTAAACTTAGCTCAAGAAATTGATAATGCTTTCAGGTTGAATTTCTAAAGTCATTTCCTAAAAGAAAAGATTAAATTATACACTTTTATTTAAAATTTATTACCATTTTTTAAGACCACGACATCTAAATGATGCTAAAAGCAAAGTATAGAAATGGAACACTTAGAGGCAAGAGGCTGGGCCTGAGAATTTCAGTATTCCACCCATGAAGCTGTGGGTCCTAACACGCTTTTAAAAAGACCCAGCTGAGCTGGGAATGGGAGAATCACAGCTTCTAATCTCAGCTTTACAGAGAACTTGCAATGTGACTTTGAGTAAATCACTTGACCTTTCTGAGCTTTTGATTCCCTATAGGTAATAATCCTGGCCTTATCTCCCTCATTGTTTCAAAAATAAAATGAGATGGATGATTTATGTGAAAGCACTTTGAAAAGTAAAATGTGCTATATTATTATTCAAACAAGGCATTATCCTCTCAAACCTACTTAGAAGGGGTTTGTAAATGAAATACTGCATATTAATGTGATCTTGGTCTTCAGAGAACTTGGGTTCTCTGGGCACCATTACAGTCTCAGCTATTTTTCAGCACAGCATAAATTATGTGCTCCAAACAAGTACTCAATACCCTTCAGAAGCCTGAGAGGCGAGTGTGAGGCTGCTTAGTGCCCCTAAAATAGGTACGACTGTACAGAAAGGAAGAGCGTTTAAGAAAACAGTGAACAGGCTCTGCCTGCCAAGTCTGTGCTTGAGCTGCAGTTTCTCATGTGCACGGGTGTTGAGAATAAAGAAAGCATGTCTAAAAACCCAAGTCTAGGCAGGAATTTCTATAGCCTCTGGTTATTTTACCGAGTTACTATAATAGATGCATGTCCATGCATAAGTGTGAATATACACAAACATGACATTATAAAAGGAGATAGCTTTGCCATGTTACACACCCAATTCACAAAATGGCATCAGTTCCTTAAGCCTTATTTGCTATTGTAATCGGGTCCTTCTGCAAGCATGTTTCATGCATTTTTAATCCTCGAGTCATTTATCTATGCTACAATATTCAAGGTATTCACAAAGTGCATTTTCCCCCCACAATTGTATGTTTAGGTTCCATCTCTGAAATAATTCTTTTCCTACTTACAAGTCTTAGAAATGCCTAAATAGTTTGTTACTGTTGTTCTTAAAGCCCCAGGGCTTCAGGACGAGGCATAACTTGGAAAAATTTGGTTATAACTTTTCTCAATCTGAGGACCCTGCCTCAATCTGGGAATTCTCAGTGGCATTTTACTAGAACTACCAAGTATGTTCACCTGTGAGGTTTCAGAGGCTGTAAGATCTCTAGAGCAAGGGCCCTTGTGTGTCCATATGCACCTTGGCCTTTATTCTCCCACAGTCCCTTAAAGGTAATGGTAATGCATTCTCCTAGGCACACAGTAAAAAAGCCTGATTCCTGGTCACCAAGGCCTTTGTGGCTGCCATGGCTTCTGGAAGCCCTCACTATCAGAAAAGAATTTTTCTTCCTGCAATGTGGCTTAATGGTTAAGCATTTGAATTAAGCATGATATGGTCAGAGATTTGAACTGACATCTGAGACCAATCGGGTGTATGATTTAAGTGTCTTAACTTCTCAGGTCCTCTTTCTTCATTTGACAAATGGACATCATATTTTCTAACTAAAAGGATGGTGATGAGGATTAAATGAAATGGGTGCATAGAAAGTGCCAGGTGCACTCAATCAATGGCAAGTAGTAGTTGCAGTAAAACAACAGCCATTGGAAGTATCTCTCTCCACTGCTGCAGTAGGAAAAAGTGCAGAGTTATAAAGGAGAGTAAGCCTATTAAAAGACAGAAAAAAATATTCTTTAAACTTGAAGGGAGACATGCTATACACATCAGTTGGTAAGAGTGTAACTATGCAGACAGCTTTCCTGTCCATAAATCACAGGTCAAGCTACATAAAATTTGTACAAGGAAATCAGGAAGAGGTAGTCTCCACTCTCTTGGGTGAACTCCTGAACAGCTCTATAGCAAAGCAAGAGAGAAAGAATAAATCTAAAAACGCTTAGTATATTTGAAGTATTCGTATATGTAGTTTAAGATGTATGTGATATTACAAAACAATGTACAGCCATATGTACACCTAGGACTATAAACTTCAGGCTGGAAGAACTGGCCTCTATGCCCTGGTATGGCTGCTCAGGTGCAATGGTGTCTTTAGTTTCTTTCTTTTCTTTCTTTTGAGACAGAATCGCACTCTGTTGCCCAGGCTGGAGTGCAGTGGCGCCATCTTGGCTCACTGCAACCTCTGACTCCCAGGTTCAAGAGATTCTCCTTCCTCAGCCTCCCCAGTAGCTGGGATTACAGGCACACACCACCATGCCTGGCTTTTTTTTTTTTTTTTTTTTTTTTTTGGACTTTTAGTAGAGACAGAGTTTCACCATGTTGCCCAGGCTGGTCTCGAACTCCTGACCTCAGGTGATCCACCCACCTCGGCCTCTCAAAGTGCTGGGATTACAGGTGTGAGCCATCATGCCCAGCCTGGTGTCTTTAGTTTCTAGTCTTGTCTTTTAAAGAAGAGATCAGGCTTGTCTGAGTAGTTCCTGTGGGCACAGCTGGGGATAGAAGCAGCCCTGATTTATAGCATTTGCCAATTTCCATAGTGTAAACACTCTCACCATGAGACTTCACTGAAAACAAAATTGAGAAGACATGCACACAATGGCATCTCACGAGGCAGTGCTAAGAGGCTCCACCACACCACTGCATAAGCGAAACTGTCACTGAAGGTGGATGCTGTTCAGATGAAGATTTCAGCACACTGCACGTCTCAAGTGACTTCCATGTGCCTGGTCCTATTTCTGTCTTCAGCCTGAATTATTCCCATTTCCTTACATATTTTTCCCCCGGATCTTACCTTTTTGTCCCTAAGTCCCTCCTGTTGCTCTGCTATGAAGTATGGGCAATCTGCATCCTTCTGACTGAAGGCAACAAAAGAGACATGTAGAAAAGCAGTCATTTAAGGAAATATGGGGACCTGGATTTCTAATAATGCTGTTAGTTTGTAAAAAGCTTATTTTATTCAAGATTCACTATATTGTGTGTCCAGAGTAAGTTGCAGATACTCAAGTTCAGGTCCTTACAACTGCACATATGGTCTATTTTCCACACACTTTAATATGGTCTATCAACTTCCTCTCTCTCCACCCTACCCAGTCTGCGCAGCGCTGCCAGATATATCTTTCTGAAATAACACTTGGATCACATTTCTTACTCAGAAATTCTAGCGGTTTCCCAGTCCCTTCAGAAAAAAAAGCTCAAATTCTTAGCCCTCAAGGATTTTCACAGTTAGAATACCAATGGCTTCAGGTGCCTTTTCATCCCCTCCTCTCCTGAGCTCTTTACCCAAGCCTAATTGCCATCTGTTCCTGCCTCTGAACTCACATCTTCCTTTATAGAGAGAACATTTTCACTTTGTCCTCAACTGCTGTTTGGGATGGAATGCTTGTTTCCCTCAAATTCATATGTTGAAACCGTATCCTCTAATGTGATGGGTAGGTGTTAGGAGACGGGGTCTGTGGGAGGTAAGTAGGATTAGACGAGGTCGTGAGGGTGGAGGCTTCATGAATGAGATTAGCGCCCTTTTAAGATGAGACATGATACTAAAGAGCATGCTTCCTTTCTCTCTCTCTTCCTCCCCACAACCCGCTGCCATGTGAGGATACCATGAGAAGGTACCCATCAGCAAACCAAGAAGTAAACCCTCACCAGACACTAAATTTTTTAGCACCTTGATGTTGAACTTCCCAGTCTCCAACTGTAAGAAATAAATATTTGTTATTTAGGCCACTCAGTTTATGGTGTTTTGTTACTGTATCCCAAGCTAAGACAATGACTTTCTTCATACTTTCTTCAGTCCTGACTTCAAAGTGTACTTTTTCTGTGACTCTATTCTGACAATCCTATGTAATTTTCTTTTTTTCTCTGAAGTCACTCAGTTATCTTATCTATACCTCTTAAATTGCTCATATGATACACTGTTTGCTATTGCATCTATTTGTTTACATAATCTGCTCAAGTGGGTTACCAGCATGAAAAGCACCAGGATATCTTTGACTATTCTGCCAGCATTCTCCAATAAATGTTTCTGTTATGACATAAATATTTTATATTCCCACTGTCCAATACGATAGCCATTAGCTACATTGTGGCTACTGAGTACTTGACATATGGCCAGTGCAAATGGGAACTGAGCTTTATTTTTATTTATTTTAATTCAGTAAAATTTAAATCTAAAGAGTCACAGGTGAATAGTATCTACATACTGGACAGCATAGCTAGACCCTCCATGACCGTAGCACAATGTCTTTTACTCTGGAGCTGCTCAACAATTATTTGTTAAAGGAATCAATGAAACTCCCTTATAAATCACAACATAACCCCAAACTGCCTTATAGAGCATTCCTAGTTTCTAATCATCCTCTCCTGCATTCTGTGACCATGTCCTCTTTGACCTTTCTAATCTCCCAAAACTCTTTTGGGTAATCTTGTTTACAATAGCCATGGGATGGATTTAGATGTTCACAAGTACACAGTCTGCTTCCAGCCCACTAAGACTCTCTAAGGTGAGCTCTGAGCATTTCAAGATTAGAGCTTTGGAGAGGAAGCTATTTGTTTTGACAGGCTCATCTCCACCCTTCAGGGCCGATATACCAAAGCCTGGGTGTTTTGTTTGTTTATTTGTTTGTGAAGGAGTTTCACTCTTGTTGCCCAGGCTGGGGTGCAATGGCACGATCTTGGCTCACCGCAACCTCTGCCTCCCAGGTTCAATTGATTCTCCTGCCTCAGCCTCCCGAGTAGCTGGGATTACAGGCATGTGCCACCCCTACCCCCGGCTAATTTTGTATTTTTAGTAGCGATGAGGTTTCTCTGTGTTGGTCAGGCTGGTCTCAAACTCCTGACCTCAGTTGATCTGCCTGCCTGGGCCTCCCAAAGTGCTGGGATTACAGGTGTGAGCCACCACACCCAGCCACCTGAGTGTTATAGTCTACAGGTAGGTAGAAATTGTCCTACCACTTTGGGTCACTTTTGTCGTGCTGTTTAAATACAGAAAAGTCTAAATTTTAGTTTCTTATAGATGAAACATGGTTAATCCTGGTTAAAAAATATAAAATAGTTTAATTTGTAGCAAATAATCTTATGTATTATTATGCATTCACTTGCACAGATGGCAGAACAGTTCGTTTGCAATTTAAGGAGTCTAAAATAATGTAAACACTCTGTTTCAGTGGCATTGAAGAAAAACTAAAAAATTCTTTTTCTCAAACAACTTGGAAAATGCTAAACGTCATTGAGAAATAACTTAGGATATAATTTTAAAGTGAAATGGACCTTAGACATTAGTGAGTCCATCACACCCATTTTACACATAACAAATATAATTGTGGTCATTTAAAATTGTTTTAATAAAACTATTAGTAAATGTTTGACTACAGCAGAGATAAATAGAAATTCATCCTATTTTTGTAAAATTCTCCATTAATTAACGGACTCTTAGTTTATAGGACTATTAAAACTGATTTTATTTACAATAAGCAAATTAAATTAGATCATTGAACTTTATAAACATAAAAAGTAAAATGCTGTTTTTATTCTTCACTCTCTAGCAGTCATTTGGAACCAGGTAATGTAATAACATCTGTCTCCTACAAAAAGTTCAATGTCTGTAAGAAAAGGAAACATTTACTTATTTGTCCTGTGTTTTTATTAGACACTGGGCTTTGCAGATGTCACTTTCTATGAATAGTTCACCCCAAAATTTGGCCGTACTCCTTACTAGCTTCTGTTTCTTAGAAGGCATTTAGAATTGCATCACGTTTTGATTTGGCACATGTGCACATTCACACACACACACACAAATGAGAATTGAGAGTTATATGTAATTAAATATTTTATAGTACAACATAAATCACAGAAGATATATTTTCTGAAGTTTGTGTTAACCAATAAATACTCTGTAGAAAAATTAGAAAACTCTCCTAGGCAACTAATCATTTTATATTTTGCTTTCCATTCCCATACAATCTTTGACTTCCAATTACACTGAATTATGAGACCTGTTATACTACACAATGATTGTATTGTTCTACTGCAAATCCACAATTTCAGCATCAAAAGGAATACAAATTTGCTTTCAAGATACTGATACTAAAACATATTCTCTGTCAATTGACAATTTCTCTAGGTCTAAATGTAATAGACTGTAAAAAGACATACTGGATGGCAAGATTAATAATATAACACACTTAAATGAATGCAATGTTGTTATCTCTGAATTCTCATAGTACCTAACTAAGCCAAAAGATGCTGCCAGAATATTTTGTCAGTTAGAGGTTATATAGCACTTTATAGTATAGATAAGAATAAAGTGTACAAAATAGAATCTTTTATACAGGAGTATCCTAATGAAGAGGTTATTAAATTGTTCTACCTTTAAAATTTCATTACATTCATTCACCTACCTCGGTTTTCCCTACTAATGTGCTCATAAATCCCCTTCTACACAAAATACAAGAGTCCTCTGTAGCTTAGCGTGTTGTGTTTATCTTAGATTACAATTAGGATGTTACAGTAGACCAGGGATTTTTTTTTTTTTTTATTGTTCTGTTTTGTTGTAAGTTCTCAGTTTAGCATCCAGGATAATCAGTTTGGTCTGGGACACACAGATACTTCATACTACATCACTATAACCTGTTGGACTGATGACCCAAAGGCAGTTATGGTTTTGTGTTTTTATTAGAAACAGTTCCAAACTGCTGAGCCACTCACTCTTTCAAACAGCATGCTCACAATCAGTCTAAAATCTTTCTTCACCAGCAAATGCACAGCATGAAATAGGTCTATATTTTAAACAACTTAGCTTACATTATATTCAAGACAACAGACTTTAGAGTTAGTTGGTGTATTCCAGCAGCATTGAGACAGTGTGAAGGCAGTATGTGGTTCTCTTGAGAAACAGTCACAGCTGAAGCTGTGACTCAAAACCAGGTCCAGTGAATAATTTACTAATCAATTGCATAGCACAATAAAAAAAATTCTCGTATTTAAAAAAGAAGAAATTTCTAAAAGCACAAAAGATTTTTTGGCTATAATAAAATAATACAAAATATAATGAATAAAATGATATAAAATACAATAAAATAATATAAAATAATGAAGCCAAATGCTTTCTTTATTATGAGAAAAATATATATTATAAATATATATGTTAATATATAAATGTAGAACATATGTATATATAAATTTATATATATAGAATTATATATATCTAACGCCTCATTAAATGGTAAGATATATTAAAAATCAGTATAATTTTGCATTTAGAGTAGAAAATATTAAAAAGATATCAACAATATTATAGTTAAAACAGAAGTACTTTGTAAAATAGTAAACATAGCATGATGTAATGCTTTTTGAGAAACATACGTATATAGATCAAACTGTTTATGATTATCTTTAGGTAGTATTTTATTTTTTTCCTTTTTTAACCTACCTATACTAACTTTTTCTGCAATAAGTAGGAATTAATTTTTGAATTTAAAATAGTTTAAAATCCAGCAATCCCACCATTGGGTATATATATACACAAAGGAAATGAAATCATTATGTCAAGGAGATCTCTGCACTCCCATATTCATTGCAACATTACCACAATAGCCAAAATATGGAATCAACTTAAGTGCTCATCAACAGATGAATGGATAAAGAAAATGTGGTATATATACACAACAGAATACCATACAGCTTTAAAAAGGAAGGAAATCCTGTCATTTGCAACGACATGGATAAGCCTGCAGGACATTATATTAAGTGAAATAAACCAGTCACAGAAAGTCAAATATCATATCACATTGTCTCATGCACATGTGGAATCTAAAAATGTCGAACTCATAGAAGTAGAGAGCAGAATGATGTTTACCATGGGCTGGGGTAGTAGAGACTGGGGAAAAAAATAAAATCATTTAAATTTTCAAAGAACCCCTATTGACTGGAGCTAGTAGCAGTTTACTCTGTAGCAATATCAGCAACAGCAGTAACAATAATGATGAGAGCAAACGCATCGTGTTTAATCATGCCAAGCACTGTTCTTACCTCTTTTTATATATTGATTCATGTAATGCATACTGAATTCTGAAGTTTTTATTTAACTCTTGTTAGTGGGCACATCCTGTCTTGCAGAGGAGCCTTCATTTCTTTGACGAATCTCTCTCTTGATTTCTGCTGTTGAAGATCTCTGGACCAGTAGGAAAGTGAGTTTACTTTAGCCACTGAGGCCCTCCCTTGACATTGTAGGAGAATTTTTGGAGATAGACAATATAGGCCTATTATGACAGCCCTATTACTATCAGTGACAACATGTTCTCCTTCCAGCTTTGTGTACCAGCATCACTAGCAGGTTACCCACAATCTCATGGTTACAAGATGGCTGATATAACTGGACCATGATTGCCTCATTCCAGGTAGAGGAATAAGAAAGAGGCCCATTTATTTCAAGGGAAAGAGAATTCAGAATACTTGCACTGGTGGCAGTAGAAGTATCATCCCAATAATCAAACTCTTAGATTGAACATGCTAATAATTTGTGTCCGGCTGGTAGAAAAAAAATACTCTCTGTCCATGCTAATTCTTATTTTGCCATAAAAAATATTGCTCTGGAGCCTCATTCAACATTCAAAATTGGTTGAATGGTTCGTACACAGTCAATTCATGTTGTCAAATTCAATGAAAATATCCCATTTCTGAAAGTGAAGTTTTCAATCTGCTGTGATTCACTTCTCTTGAGTCAGTCCCACTGCTGAGTTATTGTGCCCCCACAAGAGACTTGGTATGGATGGTGAAACAAGATTTTTTTTCTCTGCTGCCTATTTGCTGAATGGCTACTTAGCAAGTCACTTGACTCATTCATGAATTGAGCAGCAACTGTGTGCCAGGCACAGAACTTGAGATATACATGTGAAAATGTACACACATAAATATCACAGGATTCCAGCTCTTATGGTAATGTATGCTTAGTGTACATGTGGAGAAATGTTGGGAGGCAGGAAGAAAGATATGGAAACAAGTAATTACTATAGGTGTAATATATGCTACTGGAACAAAATACAAATTACTAGAGAAATAGAAAGGGGGGAAAAAGCCTTTCATCTGGAAAATACATTCCTCTGAGTTCACTAAAAGCACATTATGAATACTATTGTCCACTAGGAGTATAACACCTTATCTCCTATGGATAAATCAGTTTAATATAAGCACACATTAGGCATAAAGCACAATGAGATTTATTACACTTGATCTTAGCCAAAAGGCTGAGAAGCAATGCAATGAGATTTATTTATAATCTTCAGCAATTCTGTAATGGGGAAAAGGAGGCTTTACATTCCCATTAGCACAATCCTATCAGCAGTTATAATGGGAATAGCCAGGATATTAAATCAACGTATTTTCATCCTAGGTGACTCTTCCCTTCTAGTTGTTCAATTATTCTTTATACACAAACCAAACCTGGCCACCTCATATTTTAGAGTCCTTTATTTTGTACGTAGAAGTTACCTCTGCCACCCGTGAAAGCTAAGCCATGAAGCCTATTGAAATAGATGTGACCTAAGAAGTGTTTCAACCAGAAAGCAGGTAAGAAGATACAATAGGAAGCCATTTCTTTGAACACAGTAGAATGTAAAGAAAAGTAAAGAGGTGATAGAGCCAGGTTATTAAGTGTCTAATCCCTGCTGCTCCCTAACGTATTGGGAAATCCAGGAACACTGGAGCTAGTGACCCACTTTCTGTGTTGTAATTTGGGGGATGGAGAAGCTCTACATTTTTCTCTGTGTCTCATCCAACATGCCACCAGTATGCCACCAGTATACAATGCAGCATCAAGAGAGATGGCCCTTGATAGCCTGAAGTGGTACTCCTCTGTGTGGGATATACTTGGATCCCGTAAACGCGAATGACGGCAAGACAGAAGTGTTAGGAGAGCTGGCAGAAGTCTGGCCAGAAGCAAGGGCAGCATAGCGTGGAGACCAGAGGCTTCAGGCAATGGCCAAAGCCACACATGTCTCAGCACGATCTCTGCAGGCCATGAGGAGACAGCCACCTATCAGCAGACCCCCATGGGTTGGCACAGACTAACTGCGTCACCACAGAGCCCAAGAACAAACAGTGCACCCAACAAGGACCTGCATTCACAGAAGCTTGACACTGCTGCCTCAGGATTAAAAGATCGCCCCCTGGCCTCAAACCCCCAGACATATGGCACCATCTCGGGGAAGAAGAGGGAAATGGTTGGGAAATCTGACAGACTGAACATTTACCCTAAAGAGGATGAGTCATCCAAAAGAAATTATCTAAACAGGAAGAGACAGAAATGTAGTTAATTAGCAAGATTAAAGCACCCCAACCCCCAACCCTATGCCCTTAACAAGCGGAGTTAACAAGCTCAGGGGAAAAATTAAATCATTATCAAAAGATTCCCCCAAGCTTCTGAAAAGCCTAGAGAGGGAATTACGTGGAGTAGTATTCACAGGGCAAATGTCATTTATCCTATTACATTTATCCTATTACACCTAGCAGTCAAAAGCTGGTCCCTTTGAAGCAAGGTGGCCCTCATTCAGTTGACAATTTGGACTGATTGTGTTGGAAGAGAAGTGCTCCTCAGTCAGTAGATCTTGATGTCAATAGAGATCAGTTTTTAATCAGCTGCTTGCTGCTACTTGCCTTGCTCTGCAAAGCGGGCGGTCAGGGACAAAGGGCTAGCCACAACTACTTCTCCCTAGTTCTGCTCCTCCTATGTTATGGCCCCTACACTCATTGTCCCCAAGTATTATGAGGTAGATAACAATAAAAAAGTAAAATCTGTTAACAAACTGGGGGCACGTTTTGGCAGAGCGGAAAAAAAATCTGAATTGGGAGACAGCAGACAGAGCAGCTGGTAACGATTTTGTCACTGACTGTCCAAGTTTCCACACAATGTGTATTATTTAGGGGAAAAAATGTCAAATAAGTTTGGAATGCTGAGTTAAGTAAAGTTAAGCAGATGTCTTATCTGAAGGGCTACCTCTAATAAACCTCTAATAAAGCTAATATGTATAGTGAAATTCCAAAGGGGCCAAGTATGCAGTTTCCCAAACTTATTCCAGTGGTATGCTGCAGCTGGCCCATACCAGCTTAAGGTTGTGGGCATCTCTTCCCAACTCTGAGTTCAGTGATGTCACTGTGGTAGTTTGAAATTGGCCATGGTGGGAGTAGTTACGCCACACAAATTGACAGTTACTAACAGGTTTTCTTTACCACCATACCATTGTCTTAGAAAACACTTGTTAATAAAACCTGTCACAGGACTAGTGCATTAGTATTCTACTGCTGTTTCAACAAATTATCACAAATTGAGTAACTTATAGCAATACAAATATGTTATAGTTCTTAGGTAGAAATCTGACACAGGTCTCACTGGGCCGCAGTCAAGGTGTCTGCATTCCTTTCTGAAGGTTCTAGGAGAGAGTTCATTTCCTTAACTTTTCCAACTTTTGGAGCCATCTGCATTCCTTGACTCAGGGCCCCCTTTCTTTATCTTTAAAGCCAACAACAGCAGACTGGTCCCTTCTCACAGGGCAGCACCTCTTCTACACCCTTTTCTACTTTTAAGGACCTTGTGATTGTAATGGGCTTACCCAAATAATCCAGGATAAACTCTCTATTTTCAGATCAGTTAATTAGCAACCTTAATTCCACCTGCAATCATAACTACCCTTTGAAATGTCAAGTAATACAGTCACAGGATCCAGGGATTAGGATGTGGACAACTTCGAAGGGGCCATTATTCTGCCTGATACAGCTAGTGTTCCAAGGAACACATTTTGGAAAGACTCACAAAAGCCTTGTGATGGGAAGTGCATTGGGCTACCCACTTTCTAATTTTTCTTGAGTAAATTATTTATCTTTTTAGAGCTACAGTAAATTGCTGTATGAAATGAGGCTAATGCTTTCTTGATCTGCTTGGCAAAGTTGTTCGATAGACACAACAATGTCTTAAAAAGTGATGAGACTCTCTACATGTGTAATATATCATTATTCTTAATAATAGTTCATGTAATACAAGTTTTTGTTTAAGGTCAAAATAATTCCCATAGTTAATAACTCAATCATGTTCTACCAGTATCTTCCCAAAAGGAAAGGGTAGCTCTGGCTAGTGCCAAGAGGAGAGTGTGTGAAAATTGAGATCATGCACAGACTTCGATCATTTTAGATTTTTACCTGAGCCTGGATCTAGATTAAGACTTCTCAGAGTCTTTAAAATTAGTGAAAAACCTGAAAAAAATGCAGGATCTTGTAGGTCTTTCAGGACTAGATCTGGGCAAATTCCCTTTTATGTGCCCATTCTTCGCTTTCTCTCTCACTTCAACTTTGTCTGTAAGATTCTGTAAGCCACAATACAGATTATCAGGCCAATGTGGGGTAAAGAATGGGAAAATTTTAAAATAAATGTTCCCTTTTAGACACAAGTTGAAACCCAGATCCTTCCCATGGTGAGTCATAGAACTCAACATTCTCAAGTCATAAGTATTGGTGGCTGAGTTGATGACCCTCTGCATCTTAAATAAATGATTGCATTACTGATTGAAATGTAACCTTTACTTTTTCCTGTTTAAATATTTGGTGCTTTGTCTTCTATCACCTGTATATCCTGAGGTTACATAATTTAAAATTTGAATTCAGGTTGCTAATTCACCAACTGCTGGCCCTTTTATCTACTCAAACATTCGTACCATTTTAGGGGTCTTATTACACAATTGTTTCCTGTACCATCATCAGCTTTGAGATGCACAGCTGATAAAGAGTATTAAGGAAAGAATTTTAAATGACCTATAGATTTTGCATAGAAAATAAATTATAATAAACTATGTGTTCAATTTGACTGTGCAGAATTTTGAGCTGTTTCACTCCGCCTCATTTTTGGCCAAGACAAGTAGCTGCGAGTTGTTAGTTATCAGCCTTTGATAAACCTGACACTACCCAGCTTGGTTATATAATCCACCACCCTGTGGTCCTGGAAATGGCTGTGCCTTTGGAATCTGTGTCACATTATGCTGGCATCAACAAAACCAGCCAGGCAAGATGGTGACCTGGGCAGAGCTAAGATTACAAGAACAGGATCACTTTCTGTTTTGTGTTGACTTCATTGTGAGGATTGTGAGTGTCAGATTTTTAGTCTTTGGTGTTGGGGCTTTTCTGATAACCTTGTCAGGGCCCAAACTAACCTGTCCTTTCTGGGCTGTACTCCAAGGAGCTAGGAGGGGATTAGTAGCAGCAGCAGTATCTTGGCAAAAGGAGTCTTGGACCAGCTTTGACCAACAAGCAGGGCTTCTGTGGGCTAGTTCTGCCTGTGCACCATGATGATGTGAGTTTTCATTAGCTTTGCCTCCTTGAGAATGACAGAAGCTTTCAGATTAGAAATGTATGAAATGTACATGCACAAGGAGAATAAATAAGCCTTGAAACCTAGAACTATGTCAACAGGAAATGAGAAAAGGAAATGCTAAAAACAAAAATGTGTTAAGTGTGGAGAGGGAGAAATAATTATGAAATCTAGATGGGGCCTTTCTTTCTAAGAGTATTTGAAAACAGATATCTACATATCTGTATATACTTATATATACACACATACATGCATGCAAATATATGTGTATATATATATACACACACACATTTTACATTTGGCTTAGGCCCTGAGCTCATTCAACAAAAACTGGTATGCCCAAAAGAGTAATAGAGTATAACTAGCATAATATGACTGCTCAATGAAATCAGCTGTGTAGGTTGCCAAAGGAACAGCATCGTTTTATGGAAAGAGTTCTGATTATAAAGCAGATGCAAGAATAACCCCAGAGTGACAAGGCATGGTGGCTCATGCCTGTAATCCCAGCACTTCGGGAGGCCAAGGCAGGCAGATCACTTGAGTTTAGGAATTGGAGACCTGCCTGCCTGGCCAATGTGGAGAAACCTTGTCTCGACTAAAAGTACAAAAATTATCTGGGCATGGTGGTGCACGCCTGTAGTCCCAGATATTTGGGAGGCTGAGGCACGAGATTCTCTTGAACCCAGGAGCTGGAGGTTTCAGTGAGCTGAGATCGCAACACTGCACTCCAGCCTGAATGACAGAGTGAGACCCTGTCTCAAAAACTACAATAATATTATTACTAATAAAATAATCCCAGGGAAGTCCTAGGAACACAGGAAATAGACATCTAACAAGGTGTGGGCTGGTCATGAGGTATCAAGGGCTAAGTCTGCTCAAGGTAATTCAATTCCATTAAAATGTACCTGTCACATCCTCCACTAAAGTATTATTCTAGATTATGCAGAAGACACCAAGGCTAGTGATGCAGGGGGCTTGCTGTCATGAAATCTATGATCTTGGTAGCTGGATGGAGGAGAGAGTTGGTAGGAGGAAATATATTAGGTGGAATATATTTCTAGGCAGCTAGAATTAGAATCAAAATTTCAATGTAGTCAAAAAGCACACCTCTCTGAAAGTAGAACTCAAACTATCTCAACCTCTCTGAAACCTAGGGAGACCTCCGGGTTTCCTTCTTACTATGCCTTCTTTATCTCATCTTTATGGAATCCATTTCCTCCCCTTAAGAGCACCTTCACTACTGAGCACTCCTTGTTGTTAATACCACCTCGCTCTAATTGTTCATGCATTCCAGCTCAGCTATTAAGTATGGTTATACCTAGTTGTATGTTTCCATGGTGTGTTTAATTTTACATATTTCTGCAGTGGCTGCACATTCTTGAGAAGATGCATGTACTTTTCTACCTTTTGCATAAGATGGTAAGTTCCTTCAAGGACAAAAACTTTATCCTCTTCCTTAGAAGGCCCCACATCTTCTCATAAAGCATTTGACACTTTAGGTATGCATAAATCTGCTATTCTTATGTTAATCCACGCTTATTACAGAAGCACAAATTTGAGTTCTTTTTCATCCTCTGGATCCTAATTTTTTTGTTCTCAATAATGGACAAGGGCTCTGTGAGAGAATCTCTGAGAATCTTTCCTCATGGATGGTGGTCTGATACAGTTATCTGGTTGGAGACAGAGAGTCTTTGAGGAAACTGATCCAATCAAGTCAGATCCTCTCTGATATGATTTGGATGTGTGTCCCCATTCAAATCTCATATTGAAATGTAATCCCCAGTGTTGAAGATGGGACCTGGTGGGAGGTGACTGGATCATGGGGGCAGATTTCGCATGAATGGTTTAGTACCATCCCCTTGTTGCTGTCCTTGTGATAGTGAGTTCTCATGAGATCCAGTTGTTTAAAAGTGTGTAGCCCCTCCCCTCTCACTCTCTTTCTCCTGCTCTGGCCCTGTGCCATGCCTGCTCCCTCTGTCTTCCACCATGACTGTAAGTTTGCTGAGGCCTACCTAGAAGCTGAGCAGATGCCAGCATCATGCTGCAGCCTCAGAACCATGACCCAATTAAACCTCTTTTCTTTATAAATTATGCTGTCTCATGTATTTCTTTATAGTAATGTGAAAACAGACTAATGCAGTCTTCAAAAGCTCAGTGACCCTGGAAAGAAACATGTCCAAGGGGTTCAAAGACGCCACTAGTCCCAGAATAGATTAGGTGTATGTAATGCTAATATGAGTTTAGTGGGGATAAGGACAAAACATATAATCAGTCAGCACTCAGCAAAATTTAGTCTTTCATTATCTCTCTTGTGTCAGTAAAGTGTTCATCTCACATAGAATGAAAAGGGTCTATGCACATTGAAATAGAGTCACCAAAGAATCATGGAGTAAACAATCTGAGTGCTATCCATGACACCTGAATGAAGCTGATTCAGAGAAAACCTATGCCTTCTGGTGCACTTTCAAGGCAAGACCAGAATTCCACGACAAACTTCTCATCAAGAAATCAAATCTGTTCTTCTCCGCTTGCATCTTAGTGGCCTTGTGCCAGTGTTGACCAATATAGCAGAAGTGATTTCCAAGGTTAGGTCACAAAAGGCCATGCAGCTGCCATCTTTTTTGCTGGAATGCACATTCATAAGGTCAGCTACCCAGAGGCTACCATGCTGAGAGTAAGCTCGAGCCACATGGACAGCCCATGTGTCAGAGCTCTGTTTGATAAAACTATCTGAGCCCAGCCTTTAGGTCATGTCAGCCCGGGTGCCAGACATGTAAGTGAAGAAGCCTCCAGATGAATGTAGCCTCTCACGGTTTGATTTATGCCCCGTATTTCAAATCTTCCCAAGCTGAAGCTTCCGACAGGTGAAGCAGAAACAAGCTATCTCTGCTGTGCTGTCTGAATTCCTAATCCACAAAATACATAAGCAAAATAAAATGTTGCTTGATGCCTCCTTTCTCCTTCCGCTTTTGTGGAAGATTGAGAAGACAGAGGCATTAAGACTATTTTATTTCATTATCTATCAAATTACCCCATTTTTGTGATTCAATGACAAATATTAAATTACATCCATCATCAGAAGAATGAACACCTAGTGTATGGTTTCTGATGGGTAGTCTGTGAATTTTGCTAAACTACACACGCACAAAATTGTGTCCAGTGGGCAAGTTTATACTCCTTGTTTCTTCTTTATCAGAACAGGAAGACACAGAGAGGTCCTATGCTGGGTAAACTGAAAAAAAATACTAGCCTCCTCACTCACAGCTGACATGATCTGAAGTAGAATGAAGCAAGCACCAACTCTGGCCTATGGACCATCTCAAGAGATCAGATGTCACACTCCCTTTCCATGAACTCATGATTAATAGAAAGAATTAGTGAAGTGTTTATTAATGAAATAGCAAGAATGTTAGCAACACTGTTATATTAGCATAGGATAATGCCAGCTAGGTCAAAAAATATGTTTTACCTGACGACATAGACTAGCGATTCTCAGAATAGTCACACTTTTTAAATATTCAAAGAATAGTGTTTAGAGTAAGAATGGAGAAGGGGTTAAAAGCAGGAAAAAGGCATAGCAAGGCTAATAAAATAAGGACAACTTACTAAAGATAGTACTGATTCATCTATTCTGTAAATGCATCCAAAGTCATTATATTTATTACCAGGTGTGCACTATTTCATTGAATAAATACTAATTGAGCTCCAATTCATGTAGCATATTTCAAACTTAAACTGAAACAAAAAACCCTATTGAGGCTACAAGCCAAAATGCAATATATTTTAGTATAATTAAAGGTAATTTTTATGACTGAAGTTTAATAATATTTTCAACAAATAGCATTGACTTCATTATTTTTATGTTTTATTAACTATATTTCAGACATCCAAATTTCAGACACTTGGGATTCCCAGTTTTTTTATTTGGCATGATCAGACCAATCAGATTATTTCAATAATCCACCTAAGATGATCTGACATTATTTGAAATAATTGAGTGGATGGTCACAATTGGTCAAACCTTATTTCTTTCAGAGCCCATGTCTGATTGTTTTCATAGACCTGGCTTTTCCTCAGACCCAACTCTGGGATTACAACAAAATTTCCTTGTTGGACAAAGTAATTTTAAATCTGATACATATATATATATAAATATATATATATATTGTCTAATCATTTTCACTTTATTATAGCAAAGTATTGTTAGGGACCCAAAAATATGAATTTGTGATTTCAAGCCTACAAAATACATTTATAATGCAACAAATGTATGCTATAAAAATTGCAGCATATATTTTCTTCCCAAATTTGGTAAAATCATAGGGCTAACATTAGCTTTCCTTTTTTTTTTTTTTTAGAACACTTTCCTAGGGAAAGATATACTCTTTAGGTAGATATGAAATGTAAGCAATTTGAACCAAATTTACTTCCCATGAATTTAAATTCACAAAAAGCTGTATGAAAAAGAGTAGGTGAATACTACCCCTGTCCATTTTGATTTGATTGATTTGATTTGGAATGTTACATCATTATTCCCATTTAAGAACTTTTGCTTCTATGGAAAGAAATTTGAAATGGAAGATTTAAGGACTAATTTCCATTCCTAGGTCTCCCACCGATCCTCACTATGATAATAAAAATACAATTATTGCTTTAATAATGTTAAATATTGTTAACATTATAATAATTATTTCATTTTATTTTACTACAATGTATGTCTTGTACTAAATATCATGTGTAAGTAATATTTTTCTACATGGTATCTAGGATAAGACACAATGAGCTCGAGCTACAGTTTTTTTATCTGCTTAAAGGTCATAGATTGAATAGACTGGGTGCTCTCAGATCCCTTCTGGCACTACCAATCTTTGATTCTAATCCACAACTCCATCTGTCCCTGATATCCATTTGATGGAATAAAATTCAGTAATCTAAACTGAAATAATAGAAGACTGATGAATTTTGAATAACAGTAGTCCCCATGTATTAAAAGCCCATTGTGCTCCTTGCAATATTATATCTAATCCTAATGACAACTTTGCAAAGCAGTTGTGATTACATTTATTCATTTATTTATTTTTAATCTTTTTATTATTATACTTTAAGTTCTAGGGTACATGTGCACAACGTGCAGGTTTGACACATAGGTATACACGAGCCATGCTGGTTTGCTGCACCCATCAACTCAACATTTTCATTAGGTATTTCTCCTAATGCTATCGGTTCCCCAGGCCTCCACCCCCTGACAGGCCCCAGTGTGTGATGTTCCCTGCCCTGTGTCCAAGTGATCTCATTGTTCAGTTCCCACCTATGAGTGAGAACATGCAGTGTTTGGTTTTCTGTCCTTGTGATAGTCTGATGAGAATGATGGTTTCCAGCTTCTTCCATGTCCCTGCAAAGGACATGAATTCATCCTTTTTATGGCTACATAGTATTCCATGGTGTATCTGTGCCACATTTTCTTAATGCAGTCCGTCATTGATGGACATTTGGGTTGGTTCCAAGTCTTTGCTATTGTGAATAGTGCCATAATAAACATATGTGTGTGTGTGTCTTTATAGTAGCATGATTTATAATCCTTTGGGTATATACTCAGGAATGGGATTGCTGGGTCAAATGGTAATTCTAGTTCTAGATCCTTAAGGAATCACCACACTGTCTTCCACAGGTTGAACCAATTTACGCTCCCACCAACAGTGTAAAAGCATTCCCATTTCTCCACATCCTCTCCAGCATCTGTTGTTTCCTGACTTTTTAATGATTGCCATTCTAGCTGGCATGAGATGGTATCTTATTTTGGTTTTGATTTGCGTTTCTCTGATAACCAGTGATAATGAGCATTTTTTCACGTGTCTGTTGGCTGCATAAACATCTTCTTTTGAGAAGTGTCTGTTCATATCCTTTGCCCACTTTTTGATGGGGTTGTTTTTTTCTTGTAAATTTGTTTGAGTTCTTTGTAGATTCTGGATATTAGCCCTTTGTCAGACGGGTAGATAGTAAAAAATTTTCTCCCATTCTGTAAGATGCCTGTTCACTAGGATGGTAGTGTTTTTTGCCATGCAGAAGCTGTTTAGTTTAATTAGATCCCATTTGTCAATTTTGGCTTTTGTTGCCATTGCTTTTGTGTTTTAGTCATAAAGTCCTTGCCCATGCCTATGTCCTGAATGGTATTGCCTAGGTTTTCTGCTAGGGTTTTTATCGTTTTAGGTCTAACATTTAAGTCTTTAATCCATCTTGAATTAATTGTTGTATAAAGTGTAAGAAAGGGATCCAGTTTCAGCTTTCTACATATGGCTAGCCAGTTTTCCCAGCACCATTTATTAAATAGGCAATCCTTTCCCCATTGCTTGTTTTTGTCAGGTTTGTCAAAGACCAGATGGTTGTAGATGTGTGGTGTTATTTCTGAGGCCTCTGTTCTGTTCCATTGGTCTATATCTCTGTTTTGGTAGCAGTACTATGCTGTTTTGGTTACTGTAGCTTTGTAGCATAGTTTGAAGTCAAGTAGCATGATGCCTCAAACTTTGTTCTTTTTGCTTAGGATTGCCTTGGTTATGCAGGCTCTTTTTTGGTTCCATATGAACTTTAAAGTAGTTTTTTCCAATTCTGTGAAGAAAGTCATTGGTAGCTTGATGGGGATGGCATTGAATCTATGAATTACTTTGGGCAGTATGGCCATTTTCACGATATTGATTATTCCTATCCATGAGCATCAAATATTCTTCCATTTGTTTGTGTCCTTTTTTATTTCATTGAGCAGTGGTTTGTAGTTCTCCTTGAAGAGATCTTTCACATCCCTTGTAAGTTGGATTCCTAGGTATTTTATTCTCTTTTTAGCAATCATGAATGGGAGGTCACTCATGATTTGGCTCTCTGTTTGTCTGTTAATGGTGTATAGGAATGCTTCTGATTTTGCACATTGATTGTGTATCCTGAGACTTTGCTGAAGTTGCCTATCAGCTTAAGGAGATTTTGGGCTGAGACAATGAGGTTTTCTAAATATGCAATCATGTCATCTGCAAACAGGGACAATTTGACTCCCTCATTTCCTAATTGAATACCCTTTATTTCTTTCTCTTGCCTGACTGCCCTGGCCAGAACTTCCAACACCATGTTGAATGGGAGTGGTGACAGAGGGCATCCTTGTCTTGTGCCAATTTTCAGATGGAATGCTTCCAGATTTGCCCATTCAGTATGATATTGGCTGTGGGTTTGTCATAAATAGCTCTTATTATTTTGAGATACATTCCATCAGTACCTAGTTTATTGAGAGTTTTTAGCATGAAGGGCTGTTAAATTTTGTCAAAGACCTTTTCTGCATCTATTGAGATAATCATGTGGTTTTTGTCATTGGTTTTGTTTATGTGATGGGTTATGTTCATTGATTTGCATATGTTGAACCAGCCTTGCATCCCAGGGATGAAGCCAACTTGATCGTGGTGGATAAGCTTTTTGATGTGCTGCTGGATTCAGTTTGCCAGCATTGTATTGAGGATTTTCACAACAATGTTCATCAGGAATATTGATCTAAAATTTTCTTTTTTTGTTGTGTCTCTGCCAGGCTTTGGTATCAGGATGATGTTGGCCTCATAAAATAGGTTAGGGAGGATAACCTATTTTTCTATTGATTGGAATAGCCTCAGAAGGAATGTTTTGATTGGAATAGTTTCAGAAGGAGGTACCAGCTCCTCTTTGTACCTCTGGTAGAATTTGGCTGTGAATCTGTCTGGTCCTAGACTTTTTTTGGTTGGTAGGCTATTAATTATTGCCTCAATTTCAGAGCCTGTTATTGGTCTACTCAGAGATTCAACCTCTTCTTGGTTTAGTCTTGGGAGAGGGTATGTGTCCAGGAATTTATCCATTTCTTCTAGATTTTCTAGTTTATTTGCGTAGAGGTGTTTATAGTATTCTCTGATGGTAGTTTGTATTTCTGTGGAATCGGTGGTGATATCCCATTTATCATTTTTTATTGCATCTATTTGATTCTTCTCTCTTTTTCTTCTTTATTAATCTCGCTAGTGGTCTATCAATTTTGTTGATCCTTTCAAAAAACCAGGTCACGAATCCATTGATTTTTTGAAGGGTTTTTTGTGTCTCTATCTCCTTCAGTTCTGTTCTGATCTTAGTTATTTCTTGCCTTCTGCTAGCTTTTGAATGTGTTTGCTCTTACTTCTCTAGTTCTTTTAATTGTGATGTTAGGGTGTCCATTTTAGATCTTTCCTGCTTTCTCTTGTGGGCATTTAGTGCTATAAATTTCCCTCTACACACTGCTTTAAATATGTGCCAGAGATTCTGGTACATTGTGTCTTTGTTCTCATTGGTTTCAAAGAACATCTTTATTTCTGCCTTCATTTCGTTATTTACCCAGTAGTCGTTCAGGAGCAGGTTGTTCAGTTTCCATGTAGATGTGCGGTTTTGAGTGAGTTTCTTAATCTTGAGTTCTAATTTGATTGCACTGTGGTCTGAGAGACAATTTGTTGTGATTTTTGTTCTTTTACATTTGCTGAGGAGTGCTTTACTTCCAATTATGTCGTCAGTTTTAGAATAACTGCGATGTGGTGCTGAGAAGAATGTATATTCTATTGATTTGGGGTGGTGAGTTCTGTAGATGTCTATTAGGTCTGCTTGGTACACAGCTGAGTTCAGGTACTGGATATCCTTGTTAACCTTCCGTCCTGCTGATCTGTCTAATATTGACAGTGGGGTGTTATGGTCTCCCATTATTATTTTTTGGGAGTCTAAGTCTCTTTGTAGGCCTCTAAGGACTTGCTTTATGAATCTGGGTGCTCCTGTATTGGGTGCATATATATTTAGGATAGTTAGTTCTTCTTGTTGAATTAATCCCTTTACCATTATGTAATGGCCTTCTTTGTCTCTTTTGATCTTTGTTGGTTTAAAGTCTGTTTTATCAGATACTAGGATTGCAACCCTTGCTTTTTCGTGCTTTCCATTTGCTTGGTAGATCTTCCTTCATTACCTTTATTTTGAGCCTATGTGCATCTTTGCATGTGAGATGGGTCTCCTGAATACAGCACACTGATGGGTCTTGACTCTTTATCCAATTTGCCAGTCTCTGTCTTTTAATTGGGGCACTTAGCCTATTTACATTTAAGGTTAATATTGTTATGTGTGAATCGGATCCTGTCATTATGATGTTAGCTGGTTATTTTGCCTGTTAGTTGATGCAGTTTCTTCATAGCATCGATGGTCTTTACAATTTGGCATGTTTTTGCCGTGGCTGGTACTGGTTGTTCCTTTCCACGTTTAGTGCTTCCTTCAGGAGCTCTTGTAGGGCAGGCCTGGTAGTGACAAAATCTCTCAGCATTTGCTTGTCTGTAAAGGATTTTATTTCTCCTTCACTTATGAAGCTTCGTTTGGCTGGATATGAAATTCTGGGTTGAAAATTCTTTTCTTTAAGAATGTTGAATATTGGCCCCAACTCTCTTCTGGCTTGTGGAGTTTCTGCCAAGAGATCTGCTGTTAGTCTGATGGGCTTCCCTTTGTGGGTAACTCGACCTTTCTCTCTGGCTGCCCTTAACACTTTTTCCTTCATTTCAACCTTGGTGAAGCTGACAATTATGTGTCTTGGGGTTGCTCTTCTCGGGGAGTATCTTGGTGGTGTTCTCTGTATTTCCTGAATTTGAATGTTGGCCTGCCTTGCTAGGTTGGGGAAGTTCTCCTGGATAATATCCTGAAGGGTGTTTTCTAACTTGGTTCCATTCTCCCCATCTTTTTCAGGTACACCAATCAAATGTAGATTTGTTCTTTTCACATAGTCCCATATTTCTTGGAGACTTTGTTCATTTCTGTTTACTCTTTTTTCTCTAACCTTGTCTTCTCACTTTATTTCATTAATTTGATCTTCAATCACTGATATCCTTTCTTCCACTTGATTGAATCAGCTACTGAAGCTTGTGCATGCATCACAAAGTTCTCGTGCCATGGTTTTCAGCTCCATCAGGTCATTTAAGTTCTTCTCTACTCTGTTTATTCTAGTTAGCCGTTTGTCTAATCTTTTTTCAAGGTTTTTAGCTTCCTTGCAATGGGTTCAAACATCCTCCTTTAGCTCGGAGAAGTTTGTTATTACTGACCTTCTGAAGCCTACTTCTGTCAACTTGTCAAAGTCTTTCTCTGTCCAGCTTTGTTTTGTTGCTGCTGAGGAGCTGTGATCCTTTGCAGGAGAAGGGGTGTTCTGATTTTTAGAATTTTCAGCTTTTCTGCTCTGGTTTTCCCTATCTTTGTGGTTTTATCTACCTTTGGTCTTTGATGTTGGTGACCTACAGATGGGGTTTTGGTGTAGATGACCTTTTTGTTGATGTTGATGCTATTCCTTTCTGTTTGTTAGTTTTCCTTCTAACAGTCAGACCCCTCAGCTGCAGGTCTGTTGAAGTTTGCTGGAGGTCCACTCCAGACCCTGTTTGCCTGGGTATCACCAATGGAGGCTTCAGAACAGCAAATATTGCAGAACAGCAAATATTGATGCCTGATCCTTCCTCTGGAAGCTTCGTCCCAGAGGAGCAGCCACCTATAAGAGTTGTCTGTCAGCCCCTACTGGGAGGTGTCTTCCAGTTAGGCTACATGGGTGTCAGGGACCCACTTGAGGAGGCAGTCTGTTTGTTCTCAGAGCTCAAACACCATGCTGGGAGAATCACTGCTCTCTTCAGAGCTGTCAGACAGGGATGTTTAAGTCTGCAGAAGTTGTCTGCTGCCTTTTGTTCAGCTATGCCCTGCCCACAGAGGTGGAGCCTAGAGGCAGCAGGCCTTGCTGAGCTGGGGTGGGCTCTACCTAGTTCAAGCTTCCCGGCCCCTTTGTTTACCTACTCAAGCCTCAGCAATGGCAGACGCCCCTCCCCCAGCCAGGCTGCCACCTAGCAGATAGATCTCAGACTGCTGTGCTAGCAGCGAGCAAGGCTCGATGGGCATGGTACCTGCCGAGCCAGGCACAGGAGAGAATCACCTTGTCTGCCAGTTGCTAAGACCCTGGGAAAAGTGCAGTATTTGGGCGGGGAGTGCCCGCTTTTCCAGGTAGTCTGTCACGGCTTCACTTGGCTAGGGAAGGGAAATCCCCCAACCCCTTGTGCTTCCCAGGTGAGGCAACACCTCACCCTGCTTCAGCTTACCCTCCATGGGCTGCACTGTCCACCGCAATGCACTCCGTGGACCCACTGTCCAACCAGTCCCAATGAGATGAACCAGGTACCTCAGTTGGAAATGCAGAAATCACCCGTCTTCTGCGTTGATCACACTGGGAGCTGTGGACCGGAGCTGTTCCTATTCTGCCATTGTGGAATGCCCTCCCTAATACATACATTTAACAGTGAAAAATGGTGGATAATTTATACCAGTTTTTTTCCATCAAGGAAGAAAGCATACAGAGGGTAAAATTACAGTCAGATAGTAAATAGGCCTGGATCCTTAGGCCCACTGTAAGATACAGCACAGATGCCTTCCCAAACCTTAGAAAAGCTAACTCATAAATCACGATTAGCAATAAGGAAGACAGTTGAAGGAGTATAGCTACACCTGTGCAAATCTGTCACTCTTCCTAGAAAAAGTATTCAAACCACAGTGAGCAATGTCATGAAAAACAGAACACTTATCACCAAGAAGAACCGTTCTTTACTTCTCCTTCCCATTTTCTTCTGTAGTTGACAAAATCAGAGCTATAAAGTGAACTATCTTCAGGAATTTGCCTGGAAGGCAGCAGGCGAGCCACCATGTTCCATAGAAATTCTGGAGACAGCAGCAATGAATGGACAGCTATTCCTTCTAATTTTAAGCATATTGCCACAGTGCCTGGGTGTCATCTCCTCTGGAAAACTTAACTCCTAGAAATTTAGCTGAAAGTCTAACACTGTAAATGTTAAGACCTGACACTATAAATCCTCCCTAATGGGTCAAGTCTGTTCTGTTGGCAGTCCTATTCAACATATATTTTTAAATTTTCTGTGAATATTTGAGTACTTTTTGTGCTGGCCATATTCACAGTACTCTGTTGCATTAATGAAACACATTTGCCCTGATGAATCATCGGTAATATGCAATTAATCGTGTCTCCTAATGAACCAATATCCCACAAACGAATTGATGAGCAAAAATTTAAATAGTACTAGATGAGGGTAAGAGAATGCAATGTAAAATATTTCAAGAATAGTGTTAAACAGGAAGTTGAGTTGCAAAATATGTTTCTTCTATTTAAGTGCCATTTTATTAAATACTTCCTTACCTATATTTTTGTGGACTTTTATTTTCAGTTCAAACTTTCGTATCAACCTGCATGGTAAAATACCAGCTGTCAATTTACCTTGTTCTCAAATTCACGTAATCTTAAAAATAATGTCTACTACTATTAAGGCATATATTTGCAATTATGCTCTCAAAATTATAATTTTTAAAATCAGTACTTTTATAACCATTTTCCTATAATCACTTGAATGAATATTGATCTAGAAAGCTAGTTCAGCTCGGCCAGGCCCGGTGGCTCACGCCTGTAATCCCAGCACTTTGGGAGGCCGAGGTGGGTAGATCACGAGGTCAGGAGATGGAGACCATCCTGGCTAACATTGTGAAATGCCATCTCTACTAAAAAAAATACAAAAAAAAAATTAGCCAGGAGTGGTGGCAGGTGCCTGTAGTCCCAGCTACTCAGGAGGCTGAGGCAGGAGAATGGCGTGAACCCAGGAGGCAGAGCTTGCAGTGAGCCGAGATCACACCACTGCACTCCAGCCTGGGCAACAGAGTGAGACTCTGTCTCAAATAAATAAATAAATAAATAAAGTAGAAAGCTAGTTCAGCTCTTGTTGTGTGCACCTGGTAATGACAATGAAATGTGGACTCATTCATATGGTCAGAATTATTTCATAAGGCTACTTTCCCTGGTTTTAGAAATATCATGTTTCACATATTTAAATTATCCTTCTCTCAAAAGGATAAAACCTTGATTGAAATAACTTCCTCCTTTTTTCAATCAGCTACAAAAGAGAAAGAAATGAATTAAGTACTAGGATTAAATTAATGCTGATGTAGCACCTCATAACCACTTCTCAAATTTAGTAGTGGTGGTCGGGAAAAGAGAAGAGAATATACAAAGAGAAGAATCAGCTGAAGATACATAATAGGACAACTGGACCATGAGTTAATTGCCTGAGGGTCACCTAGGAACCTTGATTAAAAACATTAACATCTTGATGTAACAAATCTACAGGACTTCATGCCTCTTCCCCCAGGCTCCCACAGGCTTTTGGGGGCCCTCTGGTTGCCTTGGTCACAGAAGGTTTTCTTCCTTTAATCAAACTCCCCTCCCCCAACTCCACAGCCTCCTGCTTTGAAAAAAAGGAGCCTTTGCTCAGCAGACCAGTTCCAACTCTTATTACTCTTTTCTCTTGGCTCCAACAGCACAGAGCCCATGGTTCGATGGCAGCTAATTCCAGTGTTGCACAAAGATTTCCAGGAGACCTACCTGAAATGTGGGCAGAAAACAAAGACCACTGGCTGAGAACGTTTTAAGGGAACCTGGTTAGGAAACTATGGCTACATATTATAAAATATCTGATTAGTATTTGTCTCCCATTCTCAAATGTCTTGAAGGTTTTTTTAGTTCTCATGTCAAAAATAGGAGGAAGGGAGTCTAGTGACATGAACACATCAGGATTTTGCTTTCCTTAATTTCCCTTCAGGGTCCAGGCCCTCTTGACAATTTCAGATCTCATTTTCTTTCTACTTCTCTTTTCTGTATTTTCTCTTTTTTTCCCCTCTTTCTTTCTTTCTTTTTCTTTCTTTCGGTCCCTCTCTCTCTCTTTCTTTCTTTTCTGTCTTTTCTTTCTTCTGTCCTCCTCCACTAAATTGAGCATTTCTAAAGAACTGGGGCTAAGTCTCTTATTTTTTATACCCACTCTAGAGAGCCTGCTTTTCTGTGATTGCAATACTCCAGGAAAGCATTACAGTGTAACAGGTATTCATTGTCCCCTTCCATCCTCCAGCTCAATACCCTGTCCCCACCAGACCTAAGCCTGAAATTCACTCTCAGAGCTTTACTTTATTAACTCAGTAATTCTTTGCTAGGACGAGATTGACATAAAACCAAATCATCCTGGCAGGTTTTTGTTTTTTCAAAACACAGAAAATTCCTTCCCCTAGGGGTTGTATCAGAATAGTTGAGAGAGCATAGAGGTATCTGTTGCTTGAAAAGATTGACCAAAACTTTCTTACCTCCATCTCCTTCCTTGCCCCTCACTATGCACCTTTACTAGAAAGACAGTAAGACTATGTTGAGAACAACCACTTAAACTAAGAGAACAACCGCTTAAATTGAGACTGCAATTATCAAGAGGTTAACTGATCAAGTCGTATATCTCTCACAGTTCATAGATTTTGTCTTCCCTTCTTGTTTAACCTCAGGTAGCCTTCTAAATAGAATAGTCACCTTTCAAAATGCAAATCTGATGAATACTCTACAATGATTCTCCTTCATCCTCAGAATGAAGCTCAAACTTCATACCTTTTAGGTGCATCTACTGCTGTAACACTACATGTTACCTATCCTATAAATTCACTCCAACCTCAGGTACTCTGCACTTTCACCCTTTGGTGCTTCAAATACAATACCTTCCACCTCGAACGTCCTGCCTTGAGTTAAATTTCATGATGAACATCCTCTCATTCTTCCTCTCCCCCTTCCTCTCACCCTTTGTGAAGCAACTCAAGAGCATTTTTTCTCCAGGGACAGGATTTGAACCCTCCAAGACTGAGTTAAATGTCCATGTGAGGTAAGCACCCTTTGCAAACTTCCCTTATAGAACTTCTGATCACACTGCATTTATAAAGAGGAGACTTACTCCATGTTTTTGGCATTTGATGCTGAAAGCCCTCTTTCCTCACCTCCTGGTGCCAAGTATCTGGACAAGCTGATAAGGAAACCTGGTGTTCCCTTTGATGTCAGTGGGAGATTCAAGCCACAAAAGCCCATGATTCCAGCCTCATTTTGGAATCACAACAAAAACCTAGAGCCAGCCTCCTTTCCTTGCCCTTAAGTCATTTTAGACCTGATTGAAAGCCCTGCTTTTCTCACCTCAGAGATCTCAATTTTGCAAGTAATTAATCATTTCATACCCTCTCTGTTAGTATGTGGCATCAGAAATCTCAATATCCAAACCAAACTTTAAGTGGAAGGTCTATCAGCCATTGAAGGTAACCATAACAGTAATTGTAACTGATACAGAAGGGAGGCAGGGAAGTGCTGGGTAGAGAAATGTGGGTCCCTTGCTAGGGCTCCACCCTCATGGACCTAGGTGAGGACAGGCACTCCTGCCTTCCTGCCCAAATGTTGCAGTTTCCAAGACCACCCTGGCCTGCCATGACCCCATTCTGGGCCTATAAAAACCCAAGACCCTAGCAGGCAGACACACAGGTGACCAGATGTCAAGAGGAGCACAACAGCAGAAGACACAAGTGGCTGGATGGCTAGGGGATGTAGAGGGAGCATGCTGGTGGAAGAGCACACTGACAGACACCGGCAAGCCAGCAGGCTGTCGACCTACGGGATGTGGCAGAGTTTGGCCAGGGCAGTTGGAGGAGGGCCAGGTGTTAAGCAGCCCAACTCCAGAGAAAAAACATCTGCCTTCTGGCTCCCCCATCAGCGGAGAGCTACTTCCACTCAATAAAACTTCATACTAATTCTCCAAGCCTACATGTGACCCAATTCTTCTGGTACACCAAGGCAGGAACCTGGGATACAGAAGGCCCTCTGTCCTTGGGACAAGGTAGAGGATCTAATTGAGCTGGTTAACACAAGCCACCTATAGACGGCAAACTAAGAGAGCATCCGGTAACACATGCCCACTGAGGCTTCAGAAGCTGTAAACATTCACCCCTAGACACTGCCGTGGGGTCGGAGCCCCATAGCCTGCCCGTCTGTATGTTCTCCTAGAGGTTTGGGCAGCGGGGGACTAAAGAAGCCAGCCACACCCCCAGCCCACGCCCTGCGAGGAGGACAAGGGAACCTTTCCCGTTTCATAACCACTGTTTTTCTTGCCTACAACCTCCCCTAAATCATGAGTCCTTTGAGGATAAGGGCTGTGTGTTGCTTAAATATCCCCAGTACCTGGTAAAGTGGTATTGTGTCTGGCACAATAGTGAATGCTCAGTAAATGTTCACTTGCTGAATGAAGTACATAACTTTTGCTGAGTGCCTGCATTCATTAAATAAAATGTAAATAAATTAAACTTTTATGGTTTGAAAGAAACTTGGGTATTATCAAATATGACCCAAACTAATGAGTCATGCAAACTAATGAGGCGTATATATTAGCATTTGTATTAGCACTCTCACTGCTATAGAGAAATACCTGAGACTGGATAGTTTATGAAGAAATGAGGTTTAATTGGCTTACAGTTTCACAGGCTGTACAAGAAGCATGATGGCTCTGCTCAGCTTCTGAGAAGGCCTCAGGAAACTTACAATCATGGCAGAAGGCAAAGAGGAAGCCAGCATGTTTTACATGGCTGAAGCAGGAATAAGAGAGAGAGGGTGAACATGCTACACACTCAACCAGATCTCATGAGAACTCACTCATTATGCAGTACCAAGGGGGTGCTAAACCATGGGAAACTGCCCCCGTGATCCAACCATTTCTTACCAGACCTCACCTCCAACCCTGGGGATTACAACTGAACATGAGATTTGGGCAGGGACACAAATCCAAACCATATCAGCCTTGTTACCTGTTATGGCAAAACAAATGTACAGAAGGTTTTGTTTCTATTATTGTTACTATTTTATAGTAAAAAGTCACAAAAAAGTCTTACTAAAATACAAAGTTGTCCTTTGTGGACTAGGCTGAGAGGTAATGAGATCATTACCCTGGTTGGTATTTAAAAAGGCATCACTTAGAGGTGTCTATTCCAGTCTCAACAGCTCAAATATAGTATGTTAGGATTACCATTGATTTGGATAGCTTGAAGAACCTGGAAGTAATCATGAACACAGCCAGGTAGCAAGTTTTATGTACATTTATTATATATTTCTCAATTATTTCAAAGTGCTTTCAGACGGGATGCTTATATTTCAAAGCAGCCAGTATCAAAGTTAAATCTCTACCAGTAGCTGAGTTTAATAATTGCCCATAATTTGCTTGGATCATCATCTGCATCAATAACAAGAATAATAGATAAAACCCTAGTGGACTGGCTATACAGTATAAAGCAATGAGGCAATTGCCTCCAACCCATCACTGATTTGCAAAGACACATCCACTGCCAACCGCCAACCTTGCTACAGGCCTATTTGTAAGTTCCCTGGGCTTAACTCTGTTGCAATAATGCATTACATTGTAATGTAACTTCCTGTGTTCTTTTCCATCTTCCTCCAACACCCATGGACTGCTTTCTGCTCAGTGCTGCAGCCCCAGCCTCTAGCGTGGGGCAGATCACCAGGGCTCCATTATGATCTCCCTAGGCTTTGGGCATTTTAGCCTTGGTGGGACTTTTCCTCCATAAAAGATATTTTAAAATATACCTTGTGACTGTTGGTATAAAGATGAATAGTTTAATATTATATGTTACAACATGTTCTTGGACCTAAAAGTTCATTTTCTTCTTGTGTTCATAAAAGCAATTAGAGCATTTTTCTGGGCCCCTAAGAGTTGGCCTTAGTGCTTAATGGATAAGTTGACCCTGCTGGGCACATCAAAGGTAGTCAGTTACTGCTTGATGGATGGATGACAGATGACAGAGGGAAGGAGAATGCAACCAGCCAGTTAGTACTAAAATAAATAAAAATTCACACCCATATAATCAGTCTAACCCCCACGTACACACTTCCGTTATCACTTAAAGCCATTAGATACAAGGAAGTAGGACTGCTGCTGCATTTCAAGGGGGTCCTGTTCTTTAAAGTACCATCCTCAGTTTTTTCATCCAAGTCTCCTTCTTCTGCCTGGAACCAGCAGGAGCCATATGCCCCAAGCTTTGGTCAAGACCCAGGAGTCTTGGTCATGACCCTGTTTCTGTTCCTTTCCTTTGAGGTGCTCTCCAAACTTCTAACCCCAATAATCCACCTCTCCTAAAAGTGAAGTTGACCAGATGCCCTGAGTTGTACCTATGCAGTGTTCTTGAAGTTCCATGGCTGGGACATTGTTGTAAGCAAGTGGATCATTTTCATCATCCAGTATGGTAATTGAACTACCAGAAGAGTACTACTGACATGCTGATTTGGACAGACTTTTATTCACAACAAACAAAGGACAAGTCATACTTTGGGCCAACCCTGGGGCTTGAACAGTGTGTGTTGTGGGCTGTCTGCATGTGGGTCTAGAGTACCTTAGGTTGGTGGGGTGGGGTGGGCATTCTTTAATAGGTAGATCCCTCTCCATCCCCACACTGGCACTCAGGATGGTCACCCCACCCTTTTCCGCTATGCACCATGTGACAGGTATCCCTCCAGGACAGCTGCGCCTATCTCTTCCTAGGACATTCATTGCTCCCCAGTGCCAAAGGGCCCTTCCCATCCATATGGTGACAAGGTGCTCTCTGGGTTAACCTCAAACCATGTTGGATAAGGAATACACTTTGCTTCCAAGAATCACTTTTCTCTCTCCACCTATTCCCCCTTTCTCTCCATTTCTGGCCCTTGGTGGTAGCCGTGTGTGAGAGCCACGTTGTTCATCAACATTGAAAGGTTTCACAATCTAGGAATGCAGTGATTATGGCCTAAAGAGTTCAAGAGGAGACATGGATGGAAGGTGTATTTGTGCTATGTTTATGCTACAGAAATCCACACAATAAATTCAAGATGACTGGAATATGGACTATTGTTCACATTTTCTGTGTACTCTGAACAAGTTTTGTATTTGTGGCTATCAATGAAGCCTCATATCTACCTTTGAGAGAATCTCTGGAAGCCAGGATTTGTGGACAGTGGGGTGAATAATACAGGTCATGAGAAATGATGCCACCAACATCAAGTAAATGGTACTGGGAAGTTTCAAAGGCAAAAAGGTCAACATTATTTTAGCACAAATAGTGTCCAGAGAGCCATGGCCATGGCATTGTGAACAATGGCACTATTGCTACCTTACTCTCGGTATAAGGTAATAAATGTACCTTATTACATTTAACAATTAAGAACATAAGCCAAGCACGGTGGCTCATGCCTGTAATCCCAGCACTTTGGGAGGCTGAGGTGGGCGGATCACAAGGTCAGGAGATCGAGACCATCCTGGCTGACACGGTGAAACCCCGTCTCTACTAAAAATACAAAAAATTAGCCAGGCAAGGTGGCAGGCGCCTATAGTCCCAGCTACTCGGGAGGCTGAGGCAGGAGAATGGCGTGAACCCAGGAGGTGGAGGTTACAGTGAGCCAGGATAGCGCCAGTGCACTCCAGCCTGGGCAACTGAGCGAGACTCTGTCTCAAAAAACAAACAAACAAACAAACAAAAAAACAATTAAGAACATGACAAGGTGGTGCCTGACCACTGCGAAGAATCCTCACAGGCTCTGACTGGACAATAAACAAATGCGTAAGTACATCTTCTCTTATTATTCCAAAACTTCATTTATAAGGCACTATGCATGACCTCATGAATATTGTACTAATTTTTAATAGTGTTTATACAGACACAGGTGCTACAAAAAATAAATATTTGCCTCAGGCTTTGCACACCTAAGGGGTGGCCCTGATTAAGAAAAATACGGTTGGAAGGATCCTTCTTCCTTTCAAGATGATGAATTCCTGCAAGGATGCCTATGGCATGCTTTTTACCTTGATTTTATGCAAATGTTAAGGAAAAGGACTAAGGAACAAGGTAACATGTAATTAGCACATCAAAGCTGATAGCCAAACACACACACACACACAAACACACATTGCTAGTGACAGTTTGTGTCAAGCCTTCAGGCCTTAGCAGTTTATCATTTTCATGGCAATTGCCAGAAGTAGCCCAAAATAATAGCAGCTCTTTGAAGAGCCACAGTGAAATTCAAGCCCCATTGAAAAGGTCTGAAAATTGTGCTCTCATAGCAAAGAGAAACAAAATACTTTCTTTTTCCAGGTGTCACTTGAAGAAATTTAGTCATCACCATAGTTGCTACATTTTCAAAGAATCTTTTGAGGGGTGGGTCTTTTCATTATTTAACAATTAGCGAAGCAGGCAGACACTTACTTAAATGGGAGGTAGAGAATTTGGGAATGAATAAGTAATCACCGTCTTCTTCATAAATGCCTAAATAAGGGCCTGATAAAATATCAGCATTCTTGACACTTCCCATCCCCTTATTTCATCCACAGTTTAAAAAGCATTGCATCAACCAAGACAAAATCAGGAAAACAGCTGTTTAAAAATGAGGTTCTTTCCTGATGAGAAGAGTCAGAAAAAAATAAAACATATGTTGATGTTTCTGAAATTCCATTTGATGATTTTATAGTAAGGCAAACAATGCAATGAGAAGTAGTAAGAAGGAAACAAGCTCTAGCAATTTGCTAATTCCAGAAGCACTCTGCAAATGTCTTCAGAACAGTGAAGCTCTACTATAGTATTTTGCAAGTATTTAGCTAGATGGCAGGGTACATGCTACCTCATATTTCTGGTCCTAAAACCCAGTTGAGTATTCTACATAAAATGTATATTTCTTTAATCCTTAAGATTTCACTAGATTAAACTACCCTTACTATATAGAGAAAGGGGGATGGGTAGGGTGGCTAAGTCATTTTTCCATCACTTGTGAATAAGCAGGTTTGATGAGATAAAATATCAGCAAAGAATAATATTTAAACTGCAAAGAGCATATCAGACTAAATAAATATTATTTAAACAACAGAAGGGGCATGAGTAAATTAGAAGCTGGATTTGTTTCTAATACTGAGTTTAAATAGTGAATCAAAGATCTGTATAGAGGAAAGTAGTTATTAATGGGTTTCTGCAGGAATAAAGAGAAGGTGAAAAAAGGGCGAAGATGGAGAGGGTAACATAAGGATTTAGGTTTGAAGTAACCTATCTTTTTACGAGGACACGAGAGTGTGAAAAATCGTAAGATCTGCAAACCTAATTTATAGTAATATATATATGAGTAGAAAATAATTTAGAAATTATCCAGTCATACTTTCTATGGAAGGCAGAATAACGTTCTCCCCATCAAAGATGTCCATGTCCTAATCCCTGAACTTGTAAAAATGTTACTTTATGTGGCAAAAGAGACTTTACTTTATAGGTGGGATTAAGTTAAGAATCTTGAGATGGAAAAATTATCCTAGATTATTGGGATGGTCCCAGTATAACCAAATGGGTCTTTCTAAGAGGGAGGCAGAAGTGTCAGAGTAGGAACAAGGTCTGGAGATGCTATGCTGCTGGCTTTGAAGACAGTGGAAGGGACCACAAGCCAAGGAATGCAGGTAGCCTCTAGAAGAAGCTAGAGAAGGGAAAGAAACAGATCCTCCCCTAGAGCCTTCCAGAAAGAATACAGTCCTGCCAAAACCTTGCTTTTATCCCAATAAGACATGTGTTGAACTTCTGATCCTCAGAATCGTAAGACAATAAGTGTGTGCTATTAGAAGCCACTAAGTCCAGGGCAATCTGTGATAGCAGCAATAGGAAATGAATACACTGTCGTTATTATAGTCTAGAGAGTAAAATAAGTTACCTAAGGTAACAGAACTGGTAAATGGCAAAATAGAGAGTACAACCTAGGGACTGGAGGGGCCAATTCACTACAGGCCTCTTTCTGCTGGATTTTGTGTCAATAGAGAAACAGACATATGATTTGCTTAGGCATCCAAACTGGTAAAGTTGTATTAGGATAGATTGGGCTTGAGGTCAAATTGGGTGTCCTAGTCCTACTACCCTGAGTTGGTCACCAACACAGCAGCTGAATAACTCTAGGTACATCCCCTCTGTCTGTCCTTTCTGCAGAACAGAGCTTCCTCAGGGAGGCTCAGAGGAGAGGGCAATGCCTACAGTTATAAGCAGGAGCTCCCAGGAGGGTAAATGGTCACAGGTCACATTTGAAGGGTGACCTTGAACATATTAAACTCACCCAAATGGGAAACATAGGTCATATCACCCAGTGGGAAGAGATGAGACAGAAGTATGTTCTTCCTCAGTGCTTGAATGAAGTGGCAGGGATGTTGGAAAACTTCTTCTTTTATTGGCTCAAGAACTTGCCAAGACCAAGGGCCCTCTACGCATCTGACTTGAATCCCTTCTGGGCTTTCAGTCCTCACCTGCCTCTGTCACAACTCAGTCGGACCTCAGAGAGCCTAAATGAAGTTAAAGAATCTCATAATGAAGATAGATTTATTTCTCTTTACCTTAATTTACAGAAAGGATGTTTGTAGTAAAAATATACATATATAAAAAACACTGTTTAAAATTGCCATGGTCTAAATGGTTGTGTCCCCCTCCACCAAAATCCTAATCCTCAATGTGATAGTATTAGGAGGTAGGGTCCTTGGGAGGTGAGTAGGTCATGAATGTGGAGCACTCATAAATGGGATTAGTGCCCTTATCAAAGAGGCCCCAGAGAGACCCCTTACCCCATCTAACATGTGAAGGCACAGCTGGAAGGCACCATCCATGAATAAGAAAGCAGCTCTCACCACACACAGAATTGCCAGTGCACTGATTTTTGGACTTCTCAGCCTCCAGAACTGTGAGAGAAAAATTTCTGTTGTTTGTAAGCCACCCAGTCTTTGGTATTAGAGTAAGACAAAAAACAATTATGGAGGATTTAGGGTGATGTGAAGAAAGTAAATAGTGTGCCAACACAAGCATGGCAACTCCTGAAATATGAATGCATTTTTTACTCTACAGAAAATGTCTCTTCACTGAACTATTAGATGCTCTTTCCCAAGGCAATAATAAGATCTTTATATTACCAGCACTTAGCATGGTGTCTGGCAGAGAGTAGACTTGCTGATATTTGTTGAGGAGGAGAATAATGTAACAGGGTTTATTGGTTTGTTGAGCTATACTTATTGAAACACTAAAAATTAAATATTAGTATGAACATCTCTATTTTACAAATTAAAAAAACTGAGGGCACAGATAGACTTGGGACCATGCTGAAGTTGACACAGTTAGGATTCAAACCCAGGTATTTGGGCCCTAAAGCCTTAGCTGTTGACTGCTGGGTGCTAGCACTTTGTCTTTTAGGCCACTAGGATATCTAGCTACAAATAGATTCTGAAGAGCCAAAGGACTGAGTAACACAGCTAGGGAGCAAATTGCAAAAAGGAGTTGAGAAATTCCCTATTCACTCTGTCTCATCTCCTTTCAAAGAAAAATTATTACAATAACACAATTTTATAAATGAAAAATAAATCCCTGCACTATCATGCGGTTTAAAATTGCAGGAGTTTTTTTCAAACATATAATTTAATAAACATGTGGTTTAAAATGTCAGTCTTCCCCATGGCCTGCCCCAGATACGTTAGGCCTGTAAGCCTTGAAAGGATTTCCCCGTGAAGGCAAATTCTAGGTATATGCAACTCTGAGTCATGTGAGCAAGAAACCAGAAATTTATGTTGAATGACAAGATCAGTGTTGGAGGAATGAGCCATGTGCCAAAACTTCATCAGGCTGTGCTACAATAATAGGTGTTTTTGCTCCATGACTCTTATTTAGGAGACTGTCTAATTTTTCTCTGTTTCTTTTTCTTATTATGAAAAACACTGCCCTTCTTCTGGGCTATAGGAAGGTTACTCTAATGTGAAACTCATAGATTTATCCCACTGAGAGACAGCTGTGACTCAACAACACATCGGGTGGTGCCATCTGCCTGGGTAGGCGGCACTATCACAAACAGGCCTGTGAAAGTCACCCTGTCATTTGCTATGATGATGCCACTAAAAACATTATTTTTCCCATCAAATTATCTCCATTTGTGAGTCTTGGACACAATTTTTTCTGATTCTGGAATTAAGATGATTTCTGCTTTTCTTAAATGATTAGTTTGCTTATTCTTTATGTATTGTCAGAAGGACAATTTGGTTTTTAAAAGGAAATAAAGCCTTAAATCACAAGAATAAGGTTAGGAATTTGGAAATTCACTTAACTAGTCAGTGGGGAGAAAAAATAATTCAGGAGACTCTCTTATCTCTGACATAAATCTAGCTCTGTCACACAGAACTCTACACATCAGAAAAGTGATATGCCACGAACATAACATAGAATCCCCCCAAAATAACTTAGCCACATTGCACAAAGTGAGATAGCTAATAGAAGTACAACTATGACTTTTAAAATTATCTTCAAAATTTTCTTCAAAAATCAAAGAAATATAATGGATCTATGGAGTTAAAATATTCTAGTCTGACTTCGTTCACACTCCGTGAAGCCAGCACTCAATAGCAACACACTCACACCAACCTAGGAAGAGTAAATGGAAATCTAAATTATTAACTTGTCCTTAAAAAAGACATACTACTGCATACAATTTTAATAGAGTGGTATTCTGGTAATAGCAGCAAGATTCATACCTTAGAGTAATTTACAAATATATATGAAGAGATATGTACAGAAATATTCATAGCAGCATTGCTTGCAAAAAGAAAAAAATCCTGAAAGTAACCCAAATGCCCAGGAAACTGAATGATTCTATTGTGATTATTCCAACAAATGGAATACCGTACAACAGTAAAAATGGATGAGTTACAACTACACAAGTCAACATGAATGAATTTCAGAATTATAAAGATGAGTGAAAAACTCACCAAAGAATACATTCAATAGACACCATTTGTATAAAGACTGAAAATAACAAAAAATGTTAACCTATGGGCATAAATATATCTGTCATAAGATGATAACCAAAAAACTGATAAAATAGTGTTTGCTCCTGAGCAACACAGAAGGAGATGCAAGCAGAGGCGAAGAGGCATATGTAATAGAAGACATCAACTGCATTGGTAATATATTATTTCTCAAACTGAGTACTCATGTTACTATTCTTGTAACTTCCAGGTCTGCATGTATTATATCACAGAAATGTTCCATAATATAAAAATTGGTTTAACTAACTATCTTGCTTTGGCAGTAACTAGTTGTTCACCAGCCATTTCCTTTGTCTTTCTGAGCACGTTACTGGCCTCCATTTCCCAGCCTTGCTTGCAGTTAGGTGCTGCCCTGTGATGAGTTCTGTACCACGGACCATGGGCAGAAGAGGTACATGCTCTGTCCAGTGCGGCCTACAAAGCTGGCCCTGCACCTGGCATACTGTCTTCTTCCTGCATCTGCTAATCACATGCAAAAAGTCCATTGCAGGACTCTGTGGACTGAGAGGGTGTCAGAGGCTCTGGATAGTGGCAGAACTGCCATCCTCATTTTCACCCAACTGTGCTAAAAGCAAAAAACAAAAGTCAGCGTGATAAGCCACTGAGGGTAGGGGGTTACGGTAGCAGCCAGCTTCCCCTGCCAATACACTTACTATAAAGTGATAATCATTCAGCCTACAGCTTCCAAATGAAATTAAAACTTCAGAATATAAACCAAAATCTGTTCCAGAGAAATAAACTCAATCTCTCTTCAGTGATTAAAAACACCAAGCAAGATTCAAACCTATCTAAGGAAACTGAGGCCAGAAGTTTCCTCTCTTAGAAAACAAACAAATATTATTTGGAATAAAATCAATCCCACTTTACCAAGAAAATAAGATAATTCACAGATCTTAATTCAAGCATTTCTCATATCCAGTTCCAGGCAAGGAGAGAGCCATAATGTACATGCTTGTAACCAAGAGGCCAACCATCCAAACAGAAATGAATAATGGGGTCACAATAGACATTCCACAGAAAGATTCCAGGGAGGGGATAAGTAACTACCTCTTGCACCCATAAACCATAGCTGCAGAATAACATATAGAAGAGAATAATCGGCACAGCTACATTTTGTCAGCCCTTACTTTATGACAAGCATTATTATCATTGGCTGACAAACACAGTTAATTCTTCATAAATAAGATAGTCCTATTATTAGTATTTTACAGATGAGGAAATTGAGGCATAGAGAATGAAGTTCAAGGCTGTCCCAACATGCTATCTTAGACTGCGTTAAAGAGCTAACATGTTATTCTTCCAAAATATGGGATAGTTATTTTTTTTTAAATATAGGTGTTGCAAAGAGGTCGAGGCCTTCTTGAATTCTCTTTTTAAAAAATCAGTAGGCCCATCTGTAAATTACTAACACCGTCAACTGAGAGTAGAAGCAGTAATAAAGCCAAGAGAGAGGATTCAGAAGAGAAGGGGGTTAGAAACAGCTTCTCATCCTCCACCTTTCCTCTTGCTGCTGCTTTTAAAAATCATCAATCTTACTTGGAACGTGTTTCAGAATCCTTTATTTTAAGACAAGAAAAACCATTAACAAACATGTCCTAAATGAGTTCCTACTAGGTGAATAATGTTCCATTATACACAAACAAGGCCTTACTTATAAAACTGGGTCCCCACTTCCAAGTTTCTGCAATGCAGAATAAAACATAAACATGTCAACTACTCCACTGGATCAAACAAAAAAAAATCAATATCCTGTTTTCCTGGACCACAGAACTACTAATTGCCTTTAAGTGGGCAATATATTTCCTTGAAGTAAGATGAGCTAATTACTTTCCTTCTCTTATCAGAAGCCTATGATAATAAAAGAATGGGAAAATGATTCTCCTTGAATTAAGATTGATTTAGGTAGAATATAAAATGTATAACCTGGAGGTAAAATAAAGAAGTGAGGAAAACAAACAATGATCAACAAAGATAAAAAATATTATAAAGTAGGAAAAGATCTAGCAACATTGGAAATAAGTTGAAAATTATCAGAAAAAGTATCTATGGATCTCTGAGAATCTTTCCTTCCCCAGTAATTAAGCTAACACTAGGTGACATTTTGTTTTTTGCCAGACACTGCTATAAACATTATCCATGTATTAACTAATTTAAACAGCCAAGCTAGGTGAGTACTATTTATGTCCCTGTGTTTTAGAATGCGGACCTGTGTTTTAGAACGAGGACCTGTGTTTTAGAATGACCTGGTGCCAGGTCATACAGCTTTTAAGAGACACAATCAATATTTAAAACTGAATCTCCCCTTGCCCAAGCTGAAAAACCGAACATCTCTAAGAAAGTATCCTCTCGTCTCTTTTGGTTCTTTTGCGTAAGTCTTCACATCTTCTAGTGGTCTTAATGAATAATGAAGGTGAAAAGCCCAGGTAAACCTTTAGAGGTAAATCTGAATATGCAGCTTTTGAAGATGCTGTCTAGGGAGAATTCCCCCAAGTATATATGAGGAGAATTATAGCAATAGAGAAGTGAGTGGGATGGAAATCCTACCAGATGGCATAATATTGTTCAGACAGCGTTGACTGGTTTCCTTTGTATCATATGGTGAGACAACATGTGAGTAAGAAAGGGAGGATGCTGGTGTGTGGAGATGATAAAGGGAACAGGAATGAGAAAAGAAAAAAAGATATAATGATTGTTTTACAGTTTCTAGAAGTTTATGCGCCATATTGCAAATAGGAAATGATTATATGAATTCAATATAATTCTTACAAAATAATAAAATTACAAAGGACTAAAGGTATTAACCATTTCAACACGTGATTGATGGAGTTAAGAAATGTAAAACTAGAGTAGGTTAGGCCAGTTGTCTGAGTTATCCAGCTAGTTAATGCCAGAGTCAACAAGAGAAATCCAATTTCCCAACTTGGTTTCTTCCTGCTTTTTTTTTTTATAACCCTGTGCTACAATATCTAATAAACAATGTCAAGTCTTGATCATTAGCATCTACACTTAATTTAATATGAGCAACAGGCCACAGAAGCTTCTATAGGCTTCTAGATTGTTTTCCTCAATCTGTGTGAAGTTGCTAATTATCTGTTGTTAATGAAAACAACCCTGTAAGCAGCTGAAGAAATGGATTGGAAATAGTAGTTTGAAGTCCAGTAAAGAAACACAGGTGTTGCTGTGTTCAATTAAAGCCTAACAAGAAACTTAGTGGGATAAAAGGGTGGGAGGTGGAACAGGAAAAGGGAAAAATGACATCATCCTCTGCTGGAACTGTTGGAGAAAGGAGAAAAGCCAGAAAATAGCTTACTAAGCACTTCCTAATAAGGAATTTGTAAAGCTGAAGATTTGCAGGACTAACTTTTGTCCACAAAACAATTTACATTTCAAAAAACTAATTTGTGAAAAGATTTTCTTTTAAAAACAGTAGAAAGTCATAGTGGTCAAAGTTAAAGCAAAGACTAGATTTTGAAGCAGGCAATAAATTATAAATTGAGGGGTTGTTTTTGTTTTTGTGGAGGGCAAGGCGGGGGAATAGATTCTATTTAATTTGTTAAAGGTTGATATTTGTACACTGAAAACAGTGTTTTGTAGTACCTTATGGTGTAGGCACTTTACCTGTGTTACTGCAGTAGGGATTTTAAAAAAAAACATCTTTTTGGTATGTTTTTAACAATAATAGTGTACTTCTCAGAAGTCTTTTAAACAATAGTCAATGTTCCAGAATTGAGATACATGTACTGTTGACTTCTCACTTGAACACTAATTCTCTTATTCTTGTTAGGAATTCCATGTAATACAGAAAGAACGGCAACGTTTATTTTGATTGCCTATTTTGCATACCACAAGGCAAGGAATTCTCAGGTTCTGAGGAACACCTCAAAGATATGCAGAAAAGCATTACTTAAAACTTTTTCAGGAAGCTCTTTGCCCCCCTTCCCATCTCCGTCACCTTTAAATCCAGGTATATTTGTAGTAGGAATTTGTTCTGTGGAACCCTGCAGCAATATTTCCCTTCATTTCCATGACAACAGCTCTCTATCAACTTCTGAAGGAACTTGCCTGTATTGTAAACAAACCTCTCTTGGCAATTGGCCTGTTTTCTCTCTCTATCTCATCTTCCATCTGCTCAAAGGCTTTGCTTCAAAAAGAAATAGGTTGCAGGTGTGTACTTTTTCTTTCTCTATCTCCCTCCCCCTTTGTTTCTGAAAGAGGTCAATCTCGGAGATTAAAATTCCCTCAACTAGTGAAATTAACAGTCTCGTGGAGCGAGCCTGAGTACCTGTGTGTACCTGGTAATGAATATTTGGAGCGTATCAACACATAGCATGTTTGGTTCCATTTTAACACAAGCCTCCTCAGAAATAAGCAGACTAACACATTTCATGAAGTGAATTCCAACTACAGGAAAAAATAAGAAATGATTCATGTCAGGCAAAAATAAATCCAAAATAAGTTTTGTTTCCGAATCTTTCATTAAGTCAAAAGTACCTAAGCTATTATAGAAATATTATATACTATATTTATATTATATATATTATATATAATAGAAATAGCTTAGCATTAATAACAGAAATAAAATCTTACCCTGAGCAAGGTGAGAAAAAATGTTTTTGTTTACTTGTTGGGAAAAAAAAAGTCTCTTATACCTTTAACTTGAGAGTTTCATGACCTCACACCAGAGTACAACTTTAATCTTCAGGACTTGAAATGTAGGTCAGTGATTTGTCCAATCTAATAAATTTGACATTTTTGTAAGTTCATTTACCTACACTGTTCTTTTTTTTATTCATTATCACAGCTGTTGAATCAAGTGACTGCTAGAACAAACCGAATTGTCTGGCATTATTTAAGACACCAAAAACCAAAGAAAAAAGGAGGAAAAAAAAGATAAATTTTCTTTATTAAACATAAAGTTTGAAGAGAGATAACCGGAAAAAAAGTATTTGGCTAGAATTATAGAGAGATTTGGGGGCATATGAACCACATTCTCAGGTTTCTATTGGAAATGTTGTTATATTTGCTTGTTTTGTCCTTAATTTTCCTTAAGAGTCATGAGGAGGGACCACCTCACTAATAATATCTGAAGAAAGGTCTTTTTTTAAATTTATTTTTAATTGACAAGTGAAAATTGTATAGATGCATGGCACACAATGTAATGTTCATTTATATACAGTGCAATGATTAAGTAAAGCAAATTAACGTATTCATCACCTCACATCATTATCATTTTGGGGGATGATTTTTGATATCTCCAGAAAACCCCTGATTTGTGAAGCCTGATGTATCTTCTCTTAGATAAACAATAGAAAACAACAAAAACAATAACACGTTATATTGAATTTCCAGTATGTTTTTATTTTTCTGTTGATACTTATATTATCTAAACCTAAAGTACAGTACTAATAACAATAGACTTCTTTTAATTTTAAAGCATCTTCATGTCTTTTTCTCATTTTATGATATGGTCTTTTATCTGTATAATTACAAAAATAATTTTATAAGAAGAAAATCCCAAATTCAGCATAGCCATAAAAACAAACAACAAGAAGAATCCTTACATCTTTCTTGTTGAAAGTACCCAGTTATTGTCTAATTCTTTGTCATGACAAAAATCATTAGTTATTCAAGACACAATGCCTGTAACAATTTATATACAGTAAGATTTCAGAGATGCCATCTTATTCAGAAAAAAACTCAGATTATCTAGGGTTTACTTAAAGCTTAGCTCTGATATTGATTGCTATCTCTTTAGGCAAGGTTCTTAGACTCTCTAAGTCCATTTCAGGTATAAGTGTCCCCAAAACAAAATGGAAACAGTATTTATCTCTCAGCACATAATTGCACATAAGAAATGTTAGTTCCATTCTCCTTTTACTGAGTAGGCGAAGAGGATCATTATGGTCAGAGGCATACTTGAGAGATATAGAGTTAGTTAGGCTTTTAAAAAGTAAAGTTTCCAGTATTATTTTTTAAAAACAAAGTGTACGTGTGGTAACAATCTTCACAGATATTATACTCTATCCAGCATTACAAATATTACTCCAGCAGAAGTCAGTTGACATAATATGCATTATCATTCCACTGCTAACCACCACTTCCTCAAGAGTTCCCCACAGCAGTGTGCTAAGGGGACATAAAATGCTACTACTATAAACCCACACTGACTTTGTGTACCAAATAAGGTAGAGAAGTGAGTCCAAATTCCAAACAGAATCTAAGTTTCTATGTGTTTAAGGTAGTCCCATTTGAAAACAGATTTGACCTCTCAAGGCAATAAGATTTGGGGATGCTGTTGAATTAGGAGGTAAAGTAAATCAGGGCCACTTTTATGTATCAAATTCATTGGAAAATCATTTTCAAAGCTGTTCTAGCAATTCCAAAGAAGGAATCTGCCCAAGTCCTGGAGAGAATTGCTAATGATCTGGCTAGATTTTGGTAACCAGGTGGAAGATGACTTAGTTTTGGAAATCTCCACCTCCCTTAACAGCTATCTTTTTCTCCTCTTAGGTGTACCACTGACCTGTCAGTACTTCCCAACTGCCTACCCGGCCTCCTTCATTTTGTTTCACTTGAATTTCTACTAATGTCAGCTACATTTGTAGTTGATTAAGGTATTTGGGAAAAGTGTCTTACATACTGCTTCTCCCTGGAAGTTTAAAGCCAGTCTGGGAATTCTATTAAATGTCTGGATGTATGCTCCTTGTGTACCTTCTCACTTGCCCATATATTCATTCAAAAAGTATTTATTGAGTGCTTACTATGTGCCAGTAATTAATGCTGGGAATCTGGTAGGAACAAGGACAAAATCACTGTCCTCATGCATTTCCATAGGCAGTGGAGGATACAGGCGTTAATCAAATAATCACACAAACATATGTAAAATTACGATACAGGAACTTTTAATGGAAGAATTTGACATCTAGCATCTGGAAGCAATTTTCAAGGAAGACCTCCCAGAGGAAGTTGAGGCTCAAGCTAAAATTTGAAGACAGTAGTTAAGCAGACAAACAGTCACACATATATTGTATTTATTGTCTGTTCCTGCTTACTGGGATTTAAGTCCCACAAAAGCAGATCCTGCTGTCCCCCTTGTCACATTATCCTTAAGGCCTGAAACTGTGTCTGGCATCAAGTTCAAAACTCCATGAATGTTTATTAAGTGAATGAACTGAAATGAATTTAACTAAAGAGAAAGGGTCAGAGCCATTCAGACGGGCTTGTGCAAAGACTCTTTAGCTGAAGGAATCGTGAAAAGTAAGAGAGATTGAAAAAGGCCAAACAACTCAGGAAACTGTAGGTTTGGGGACCTGGGGTATTAGGTATTTTCAGTCCCTCTGTGCTGAGGCAATAGGATCTGTTTGACATCTTTTTCCCTTTCTTTATTTGCTTTCTTTTACTTATTCAAGATTCCAGGGCTTCTGTAGACTGTAATGCTTTAATGAAATTACTTGTAGATAAACCCACCACCCTTCCTTCTCACTGTAGTTGGATCAGTTGTGATCAGTTATTGTCTCACATCAAAAGTGTAAGGTGATCGAATATTTCCATAGGGCAGCACAGGGACTAATGTGTAAAGATAATCTTTCACCCTCCTCTTCCTCTCCTCCTCCCCTTCCTCTCTTCCTCTTCCCCTTCCTCTCTCATCCTCTTCCTTTTCTCTTCCTCCTCTCCTACTCTCTTCTTCTCTCGCTTTCTCCTTCTCTTTCTCTGTCTCTCCTTTTCCTTCTCTCTCCCTCCTTCAATGACTTTGAAAAAAATCATTACTTTAATGACTTTTAAAAAATCATTGTCACACATGTTGTAAATGTAAGAAGAGGCGTGAAAGCAGGAAATATACCAGCCTTGAGGTGAGCCAGTCAATACTCATTGAGCATTCCCTGCATGACCAGATCCCTCTTTGACCCCAGCTTTTGGGAAGGACCCTCTTCATTCTAAGCAGCCAACTGTGTGATTGGAAAAGTCGAAACAATATTCTCCAAAGAAGTTACCATCAAGATCAGGAATTCATGTCACACAAATGAATTCTATGTGGCATTTTATAAGACTACACAGTACGTTACGTTAAATTGTGGAGGCTTCCTGAAGAAAACAGATTTTTTAATTTTTTTAAATTTTGAAAGAGAAGGAGGATATGGATTACCAGTGAGGAATGGATAGGTAGAATTCCTCTAGAGAAATATTTTTCTTTGCATAATGCAAATGTCTTCAAAGCTTAGAACCCTTTGGGGAAAACTAATCACGTCTGAAGCAGAATCTTGATATGGCCACCAGGGCTCAGTGGAAAATATAGCAAACAAGAACAGCCATGAAATCTTTTCCTTTACTCCTTCCCAAGGTCAAACAGCAGTCTTTGCCCTGGCAAACAAAAAAGAACGTGAACCCTTTCATCCAAAGGACAGGCAATAGCTCAACAATAAAAAACTCCGTGAAGAACCATATAGCAGCAAATTTCTTAATTGTAAGTGAAAATTTCTTAACTTACAAATTATTAATTTTGATATTAACCTTGGTGTTATCTTTCCTCTGTTATATGATAGAATTCAATATTATGATATGTAATTGTTTCAGCATGCGTACCATAAAATTCTTAAACATCTTCCATAAGACTAAAAAGTAGATAATATTCTATTTGTTAGGCATTCCCTACCTGGAGGCACAAAAATAAATTCACACTGGCTGTAAGTTTGTGCTGAGAATGTTTTCACCTCTTTTTGGATCAACACCTGCTAGTCTGGTCTTGTGTCTCTTTCTCTCAGATAGTATTTCACTGCTTAGAGGCCTTTGAAAGGCAACAGATAACAAACACTCTTTGGTCCCTTGCGTTTCAATAGAATAACCTGAAACTTGTTATCATGAAGGCCCGGACTGACCATGATATTCAGGGGAGAGGCGGAGGTTCCCAGGTCCTAGTTCCTTGAATAATTTGATTTCTTTTAACAAAGAATGGGTTAAATTAAACCCAAATTCATGCCAAAAATGATTTTTTACAGCAGCACCAATGGTCTGCCCAGGTCCTCCCATTTTCCTCATTTTGAAACCTACCATTCTGTTTACATCACATCTTATGCCCACACATGCGTGACACATACAGAAGAGGCCTGGCTAGACATCACGGCATCAAGGGCCCTGTTTCAGTCGGAGACAACGGTGAAGTTCTATAAACCCACATTTGCAGATCTCTTGATGAAGAGGCTTTTAAACAGTACCTAAACAGGTTGACTAGTCCAATCAACAACTAAATCAGGCATTAAGGAGCACCCATCTATGGTCAGAAAGAACAAGAAATGAGTTCTCTGTGTACACTCAGGTTGTGTTACTAGACATTCACAAAGCCTTTTTAGGGAAGAAAACCGCTAGTCCAGCTAAAAGAGCTTTGATTTTCAAATGTTAACAAACAAGTGTGTATGCGTGTGCGTGTATGTGTGTGTGTGAGTGTGTGAATTAAAGGATCCCTAAGAACATATTTATTTAACATGTCATGGTTCACAAGAACGAGTGCTTGTAAAACTATCTACCTTTAGGAACTGTGATTTGCAATGCACACAACAGTCATCTGTAATATATAGCCCAGGAACTTACACATCCTAGGCACTCATTCTTTGTTGAAAGAATGAATGAATGAATGAACGAACATTGTTACCCATCCTATTCAAGCTAGGGACTCAGTAACACATTCTGATATTGGCTAGTCTGAATAAGGAGACAGAGGCTAACCTGTAATCCTCTCCTTGGTGAGTACACAAGTAATCTGTCATGGTCTATTACATTTCTGGGACTGTCAGCCAATGCCTCTCTGAGTGGACTGTGGCAAGTCAATTACCATCTTTTTAATTCTACTTCCATTTTGTAGCCACAAATGAAAATACAAACTGACCATCTTTCTCAGAACCAGTATGAAGTTAAAGAAGAAATTGCTAGACATAACAATATAAGCCAATAAGATGGGATCATATAGGTAAATCCATAGAGACAGAGAAGAGATAGGTGATTTCCAGGGGGATGGTGGAAAGTAGATTGGAGAGTGACTGTTTAATGGGTAATGGATTTCTTTTGGGGAGATGAAAATGTTTTGAAATTATAGACATGTGGTTGCCTAACATTGTGATGTACTTAATGCCACTGAATTGTACACTTTAAAATGGTTGATTTCACATCATATGAATTTCAACTCAATAAATCTCTGTATGACAATACTTACAATTCTAAAGCATATCTTTGCCAAGCCTGTGAAAATAGTGACATGGTAAATGTTGTCTATCTAAATGTTTGAAAAGGACAAGGATTACTCTATAGTAGTTTTTCAATAAACTTATGGTGGGTTTACAAAGAACTAGAATAGACATCAATGATGAATGTGGTAAAGTCCTGGAAAATTTACACTGATTTGAGTCTGGACCTGAAATCAGGGCAAAATTTGTGATTTGGTAATGCAGAATATTTTCTGTCAAGCAAGAAATTATTTACCTCCTTTATCATTTTAAAAGGAAAGTCATTATCCATGACATGAAAAACATTAATGAAGAACATTAATTTTGGATTATGGTCTATTTGCATATTTTCTTTGAAAGCAAGATTTTTTAAAGCAAACTGTCGTCACAAGTACATTTGAATTTCACAAATTACACTCTTTGATAAATCAGCTTTATTATACACAGCATCTGCCAGTACTATTGCCAGACTCCAAGGGGTAAAAGAAAATGACAAAATAGGTTTTCATTGCCATGATTTTATTGTTTACAAAGTTGGCCTTATCAGATAGGTGATATCAAATGATTATACTTTGAATTAAGCAACATAACTCTGCACTTATATAACTCTTGGCAAAATACTTTGGTAAATATTATCCTTATAGCCACCCTGGGAAGCAGACAAAGTAGATTACTTATTTCTGTAATGTAGGATTAGAAAGCTTTTGTGACACACTGTAAGCTGTACAGCCAGGACTTGAATCCAGGTCTCAGATAACTGGGCTGGTACTCCTTTCATGGCAACCAGGAGTTCGAAGATCTGAGTTTATAATATGGTTCTGCCACAAACTTTCTACGTGGCATAAAACAAGTTTCTCAACCTCTTGAATTTCGATTTCCTCCCCTTTTAAATACAATGGTTGGGGCACATCTCAAATGTGCTCTATTTGGAGTCTGCATTCTTTCTTAGCAAATGCAAAAGTTACACATTTATCAGCTAACTACTCTTCTCTATCATTTTGTAAGCCAGGTGAACCTTTTACCTTAATATAGCTCAATTCTTAGATGCAGTAACCCACACTTTTTGCATGCTCATCGTGTAAAAGTTATGTTCACAAAGACATCAATTAAAGTAGCCTGAAAAAGGATTTCCTCAAATTCTTCAGCTTATAGCATATGAGTTTCTAAAATCACACTAGTCCTATCCATAGACAGCATTCGTTCTTGTTTGCTGTATCCTCCACCATACGTAGAACTTTTGTCTTCGGAAAGTGCTTTTCCAGCTCTTGTCTCACTTGACATCACTAGAGTAAAATACAGACCTTAGCAGGTACCGGGCAGACTCAGTCTAAGCCACACTATCTCTCTAAACTAACACGCCCTACACCCAGTCTTATTGTTAGCCTACAAGGGTGCGACAGAGATAAGGCAGGGTGGGAACCTGACCCAGTGACAGCCAATCAGAAGGGCTTTTGTCTGTGGATCGGACCAGGAGTGATTGATCAGCCACCAATCCCAGAGGCCTTCAATGGGAGAACAAAAAGTCCACTATTTGCCCCAAAGGCTGTACTTGGGTTTATTCCCTTGTGCAAGAGAAAAAAAAAAAAGTTTAACTCTCAAGAGCAACTTCGGAATTCCCACAAAACAAAGTTCAAGAGAGGAGAATCAAAAAAACCGAGCTAAGTGTATTGCTTCTACACTGTGACCGTGCAATCCAGGATAATTTAGTCCCAAAAGAAGACCCCAATAACCTCATTTATCTTAAATGTCAACAAAATCCTTGTAAAAAATACATTATTCAGAGAATGACCTCAGCATATTAATTGCAGATGGAGTCTCATTGTGTGTCACTTATTTTAGGGCCTCCTAAGTTCTTACTAGACATTTGTTTGTGCAGAAGTTTTTGTTTTTTTCATCTGCCCACCTCAAAATGTCTTTAAAAATATATAATTAAGCAAGTTTTTATTTTCCCTTACTTGTTTTTTTAAAATTGTATTGCCATGGAATATGGTGGTATTATAAATTGTAGAATCCAGAAAAACTCCCATAATCTGTACTAAGAAACATGACATATTCAGAAAACCAAAATTTCCTGCACAGTGAATTGGTAAGTAATCCAGTGAGTGGAAGATGGTGGAGATGACTTTTTCCATCCAGGGAAAGCCTCCAACCACCTCAGGTTATTAGTCAGGGTTCTCCAGAGGGACAGAACCAATAGGATATATGTATACATAACAGGGAGTTTAGTAGGGAGAATTGGCTTACATGATTACAAGGTGAAGTCCCATGACAGGCCATTTGCGGACTGGGGAAAGAGAGAAGCCAGTAGTGGCTCAGTCCAAGTCTGAAAGCCTCAAAACCAGGGAAGCTGACAGTGCAGCCTTCAATCTGCAGCTGAAGGCCCCGAGAGCCCATACAAGACTGCTAGTGCAAGAGTTCAAAGTCTGAAGAACCTGGAGTCTGATTTCCAAGGGCAGGAGGAGAAGAAGCAAAGTGTCCAGCAAAGGAAAAGAAAGAACAAGGAAACTCAGCGAGCAAACTTATCCCCCTTCTTCTACCTGTCTTGTTCTAGCCACTGAGGACTATACTCTGATTTTTTTTTATCTTGCCCAAATTGCTATCTAAAGGGGTCTGGGGAGTTATGCCCTACAAACCATAAATTCTCATCAGATAGGTTTTATTTAACCCTATATATCGTGACTTACTTTCCAATCTGACTCTGGCATAACATTATGTGACAAAGAAGAACGTCAAAATGTTTTACCCCAAAACATGCCTCTTTGCCATATTTTGAAATGGCCCTCCAATCTGTTGGGGAAAACTCGCATCTGTAAAGACTCTCTGTTAACACAGCCAGATCTTTTTCTTCCAGGCCCTCCCAATCCTGAAGAGATTAAGAGTCTAGCACCTTTTAAAGGTCTGAACAGGAAATACTTGTCATTTATTGTCTCTAATGGCAGCCACTATAAGACTTCAAAAGAACCTTGGTCTCCACAATCTTTTATCTTAACCTGCATTTCCTTTCTATCATCCCAGGTAGGCAAACTCAACCGTCAACCAGGAAATATTTAAATTTACCTATAGCCTGTAAGCACCCACCTCACATCCCCTGCCGCTTTGAGTTGTCCCACCTTTCTGCACCAAACCAATGTATTTCTTAAATGTATTTGATTGATGTCTCATCCCTCCTTAAAATGTATAAAATCAAGCTGTGCCCCGACCACCTTGGACACATGTTCTTAGGGCCACCTGTGGGCTATGTCATGGGCCGTGGTCACTCATATTTGGCTCGGAATAAATCTCTTCAAATATTTTACAGTTTGACTATTTTTGTCGACAGTGCACTGGCAACCAGTTGGATGGTGCCCACCCACACTGGGAGCAAGCCTTCCTCTCCCAGTACACCAACTCAAATGTCAATCTCCTCTAGCAACACCTTTATAGACATACCCAGAAACAATGTTTCATCAGCCATCTAGGTATTCCTCAGTGCAGTGAAGTTGACATCTAATATTAACAATTACTAGTCCACCCACCCCTTGTCAACTTGGCACCCATAGACATCTCCTTAAATCATTCTTAATCTCCAAATAAAGCCAATAACAAGGTTATAATTCCACCTAACATAATACAACTATCCTTCATACAACCAAAAACTTGCTAGTCCTTAAATACTATTACCTAAAATTAACAACATTTAAATGCTGATATGTAGTCAATAAACTTTATGTTACAAGATAAAGAAATGAGAAAGGAAATAAAGCAAAGTTATTTGCTTAATACAGGTGTATATGTGCACAAATGTATTCTTTTTTTTTTTTTTTTTTTTTTTTTTTTTTGAGATGGAGTCTTGCTCTGTCGCCCAGGGTGGAGTGCAGTGGTGTGATCTCAGCTCACTGCAACCTCTGCCTCATGGGTTCAAGCGATTCTCTTGCCTCAGCCTCCAGAGTAGCTGGGACTACAGGCGCCTACCACCATGCCTGGTTAATTTTTTCTCTGTATTTTTAGTAGAGATGGGGTTTCACCATATTGGCTGGGCTGGTCTCAAACTCCTGACCTTGTGATCTGCCTGCCTCAGCCTCCTAAAGTGCTGGGATTACAGGCGTGAGCCTCCGTGCCCAGCCACATCAATGTATTCTTAGCAAAATAAGGAGGAAATACTCATGACGATTACAGTCCTCATGTCTGTAACTGCTCACATGGTCATAGCTGGTATTGATAATGACTTTCTTCTACTACCCATTCTGTATTCCCTTTGTCTTCAGCAAGCACCTCAGCTGGTTGTGGTTTTTTACCTGGTGGAGTGACCCAAACCATCATTCCTAAAGGATCTGGGCAATTTGTAGCTCTGCCTGGATTGGGTTGTTGTAGTTTCCCATTGACCTTAATTACAGGGTAATGCCAAGAGATGTCCTAAGGGATCTCCTGTATTCCAGACATACTCTTCCTTATCTCCACTGTGAAGTAATAGTTTGATTTCATCTTGATAGTCTGGGTCAATCACCCCAGCCAGCACTGTAACTCCCTTCTTATCCGTTGACTTAGAGGTATGAGGAACTCAAAGTGGTCAGTAAAAATATATATATATATATATTTTTGGTGGTGGTGGGGTGGGGGGTTGGTATTTATTAGTTTTCATTTTAATTTATTTAATTGCAAATTTATATAATTTAATTTTAATAATGGCTGTGTTTAACAACTGGCTCACAGATATTCTGTTAACAATCAGCTCTCACAATTCAGCCTTTTAGTGGCTTACCATTGCCATTTTGGATAAGGTTCAAAATTACTCTTTGACTTAGAAGGCCCTCCAGCATTTTTCATGTTCTAACACTATTCTCAAGTCCCCAAGATATTCTTTTTTTCACACGCGCCCGTGTGAAGAGACCACCAAACAGGCTTTGTGTGAGCAACATGGCTGTTTATTTCACCTGGCTGCAGGCGGGCTGAGTCCGAAAAGTGAGTCAGCGAAGGGAGATAGGGGTGGGGCTGTTTTATAGGATTTGGGTAGGTGGTGGAAAATTACAGTCAAAGGGGGTTGTTCTCTGGCTGGCAGGGGTGGGGGTCACAAAGTGCTCAGTGGGGGAGCTTTTGAGCCAGGATGAGCCAGGAGAAGGAATTTCACAAGGTAATGTCATCAGTTAAGGAAGGAACAGGCCATTTTAACTTCTTTTGTGATTCTTCAGTTACTTCAGGCCATCTAGATGAATACTTGCAGGCTTGGGCCCAGAGGGCTGACACTTTTATTTATTTTTTAATTATACTTTAAGTTCTAGGGTACATGTGCACAACATGCAGGTTTGATACATTGGTATACATGTGCCATGTTCGTTTACTGTACCCATCAACTCGTCATTTACATTAGATATTTCTCCTAATGCTATCCTTCCCCCGGCCCCCGACCCCCTGACAGGCCCCGGTGTGTCATGTTCCCCGCCTTGTGTCCAAGTGTTCTCATTGTTCAATTCCCACCTATGAGTGAGAACATATGGTGTTTGGTTTTCTATCTTTGTGATAGTTTGCTGAGAATGATGGTTTCCAGCTTCATCCATGTTCCTGCAAAGGACATGAACTCATCCTTTCTTATGGCTGCATAGTATTCCATGGTGCGTATGTAAATTAGTTCAACCATTGTGGAAGACAGTGTGGCAATTCCTCAAGGATCTAGAACTAGAAATACCATTTGACCCAGCAATCCCATTACTGGGTATATATCCAAAGGATTATAAATCATGCTACTATAAAGACACAAGCACATGTATGTTTATTGCAGCACTATTCACAATAGCAAAGACTTGGAACCAACCCAAATGTCCATCAATGATAGACTGCATTAAGAAAATGTGGCACATATACACCATGGTCAGTGACAATCTTCACTTCCAGTTCAACGGAGTCACTGTGTCTCCTGGTGGCAGCATTCCTCTCTCTGGAACTAAGACCTCCAGGGCAGCAGCATATAATGTTGCAGAAACAGGAAGCAAAAATTTTGCTCCTGGATGATGGTGAGTGGTACTACTTCCACTTCCACCCCTTGGTTCCTGGACCAGTGAATCCTGGCTATGGGAGAAACAGCTCCATTATTGAACACAGATTCAGAGCATATATAGCCTTTTGGAGAACTTTGCCCTGGCCCTGCAAAGTATTGTCACCTAGTTGGTATTGTAACTGTGACTTCAAAAGGCCTTTTCACCATTCTTTCAAGCCAGTTGCTTCAGGATGATGGAGAACATGGTAAGACCAGTGAATGCCATGAACATGAGCCCATTGCCACACTTTTTTTGGCTGTGAAGTGAGTTCCTTGGTCAGAAACAATGCTATGTGGAATACCATGGTGGCTGATAAAGCATTTTTGAGTCCACAAATGGTAGTCTGGGCAGAAGCATTATGTGCAGAAATGGCAAATTCATATCCAGATTAAATGTCTATTCCAATAAGGATAAACCACTGCCCCTTCCATGATGAAAATGATCCAGAGTAATCTACCTGCCACCACATAGCTGGCTGATCATCCTGAGGAATGGTGTTATATTGAAGGCTCAGTGTTGGTCTCTGCTGCTGGCAGATTGGGCACCCAGCAGTGGCTATACCATGGTCAGCCTTGGTGAATGGAAGTCCATGTTGCTGAGCCCATGCATAACCTCCATCCCTGCCATCATGGCAACTTTGTTTATGAACCCATTGATCAATGACAGGGTTGGCCTGGGAAAGAAGCTGAGTGGTGTCCAAGGAAAGGGTCATTCTATCCATTTGATTATTAAAATCCCCTTCTGCCAAGGTCATCCTTTGGTAAGTATTCACATGGGACACAAATATCTTCACAGTTTTTGACGACTCAGAGATGTTCATCCACAATGAGGGTGGGTTTTCCTCCTAGTCCTCTGACTCACATATCAGTCTCCCCTGGCAATGCCCTCAGAAATATACCCGAAAACAGGACTTCATCAGCCATCTTGACACCCCTCAATCTAGTCAACTTGACACCCAATATTAACCATTATACCACCTTTGTCTAGAAGTTAAAAAAGAGTAACAATAAATAAGGGAAGCAAGGAAACAATACAAGAAATATATAAAAAAGACAAATGGTACTTTACAATATTACATTTAGGGTCTGATTACTTCTCTAAATGTTCACCTATTGACTAGTTAATTATTTAATTTTATCATTGGACACAAAATGGTATAGTAGAAAATAAGCCCTGGGAAGGTAATCAGGAAGTACAAGTTCTTTGTAAAATTATATTTATGCATTGATTTTTTTATTTATACATAATAGTTGTACAGGAGGTGTAAGTTCTAACTGAAGCATGAGGACCTGATGTTATTATTGTATATCCTTAGCTCAGCCATTTTTAATTTATTCAATCCTTCATCTTTCAATGATTACTTAAATGTAACACATTTCCAAATGCTATGCTGAGTGCTGGCTCCAGAAGTTTGCCATATTCGAGACACCTTTCCAAGAAGATGGTATAGGCATTTCCTTACACATAGATGTCAGTGATTGGTGCTCTATAACCCTGATACCATGACTATATCTATTTGGATCAGAAATCAGCAACTGACCCAAACACAGCCATCTATTGGCCTTCTGGCAGTTTACAAAACAGTGTATGTGAAATGCCCAGAACGCTTCTCTATACTGGATAATAACTAATTGAACCATTGTAAGAACCTCTCAGAGGGTTTAGATGTCAAATATACAGAGAGGAGAACAGAAAGTAGAGTGGAGTCGAAGGCAAAAGAGAGATATGACTACATGCACAAGCCATGAAGCAATAGAAGCCATGCCTAGGTATATACTGTTAGGAGAGTGAAGAGAGTGGGGAATTGATAGCAAAAGGAGTAGGGGTCTTGGTGAAGAAGAATAACAAATATCTTTCAGCAAGAGAAAAAAATGCATTAATTCTATTAATAAATAAATGTTTCTTAGGTATCTTCTACATGTGAAGATACAAATGTGAAAAGAACAAAAATTTTATTCTCATGAAGTCTACTAAAAGAGCCATACATTAATCAAATAATCACATGAACCATAGTAAATGCTTGGAAGCTAAAAACACAGGGAGTTACAAGATAAAATAGGTAGGGAGGAGTTGACTTAGTGTGGGGGCACTGGGGGGTGAGCTCCATGAAGACTACCTGGGGTGGTGACACTGGAAAGGAGATCCAAAAATATCCAATAGGGCAAAAGTAATTTGAGAAGAACCATGATATCATGAAGACACCGGAAGAGTAAGGGGCAGAGGAGAGCAAGGTTAATCTAGAAAGTTAGGTAGAGGCCAGATTATATCAGACCTTGTAGGCCATTTTATGATTTGAGTTTTAATCCCAAGGGCAGTGGGAAGCCATCAGAGGATTCCAACAGGGAATTCACAAACTGAGATGTGCATGTAAACTGACAACAGTGACTGCCATATGGGAATTAATGGAAGGGGCTTAAAGTGGAAAGACCAGTTCAGAAACTTCTGCAGGAGTCCAGAGGAGAACAGTGACTTGGGACCAGGGGACTGGACAGTATCCTGAACATGGTAGGCTTCAGGGTGGGGAAAACATCTAATTTATCTTGGCACCCATAATGTATGACACAATTCTGGCACCTAGTGAACTCAGAAAATGGTTGTTGAATAAATGGAGATACATTCTAAGGAATCAGTGGTCAGGAATAGTATAATAAATTTCCTCTTCCTCAATGAATTCACCCTAAAGGGGAAATGTCTAATGGTGGTATCTCAGGTACTGTGTTACTCTCTCTCTCAAAGGAGATACTTGAGTGTATTGAAAATTTTAGCCCCCTGAAATGACCCAATTAAAGGTATCTCTGTCCAAGAGCCAAAAAACAACAATGGTTAAAAACACAGGTTCTAGAATCAAAGTTCCCAAATTCATCTTACTGGTTTCTTGATGTGTTATAATAGGCATACTATGTGACCCTCAGTCTGTCTTTTCTTTTTTCTTTTTTTCTTTCTTTCCCTTCCTTCCTTCCTTCTTTTTGAGACAGGGTCTCTTTCTGTTGCCCAGGCTCCAGGCTGGAGTGCAGTGGCATGAACACAGCTCACTGCATCTTTGACCTCCTGAGCTAAAGCAATCCTCCTGCCTCAATCTCTCAAGTAGCTGGGACCAAAGGCACACATCACCGCACCTAGCTAATTTTTAATTTTTTTATAGAGACAGTCATGACATGTTGCCTAAGTTGGTCTTGAACTCCTGGCCTTAAGCAATCCTCCTGCCTTGGCCTCCCAAAGTTCTGGGGTTACAGGAATGCACCATCATGCCTGGCCCATTTCTTCATCTCTATGGTGGTAATATTAATAGTATTATGCCTACCTGAAAGAGTTACTTTGAGGATTAAATGAGATTATATATTTTAATCATTTATCACAAGACTTGACACGTAGGAAGCTCTCAACAAACACTATTATTATTCTCACCTAGACTATGAGCTTCTTAAGTAAAAGCCATCTTTATCAGTGCATAGTGTCTGTGACATTGTAGGTAGTCAATAAACTTGCACTATTGACTTTGCAACTCTCATCCATCATCCTGAATTTTAAGATTTTATTTCACATGTTTGTTTCAGAGCCATCTTTCTTTACCCAGGTCTCCTAATAATCTTTTGTATCCTGAAAAAGAACATTCTTCTCACTCTGTAATTATCAGTCTTTCTATCACCTTCCTTTTTTCCTGTTCCAAACAAAATTATTCAGTCTGCTTACCTTTCCCCTGACAAATCCTGCCATTTCAAAGTTAATTGCTTCTACTTCCATTACACACCTGCCTTGTTTTATTTTGTCTATTAACTATGCTTTCTTGTAAGTAGATTTTATCTATTCCACTTGTCCCCTTTCCCTTCTTATTAATGAACTCCCTAGCACTGGCATCAGCTGAGGATTATCCTTCAACCCAAGCTTCTTAAACCAGTCTCCAAATTATTTGCTGCTTAGATCATTGCTCTTGGCATCCTCCTTGCTAATTCACCTTTGTTAGGAAACTCTTGTCTCCGAAAATATCCCTTTCTTGCAGAGTATAGGAAGGAATTATTCCTTCAAACAATTTTTTTAACTACTCTTTCTTTTGAGCTGGCTTTATTTTCTCCTCCCTTTGAATGTCTAGCAGCATGTGTCTTTCAGCTAGAACTGCACAATGTCTATACCTCTGGCAGGTAAAAGGAGGAAAAAGGCACACCTCAAGGTACTCTTCCAAAAGGAATCAAATAGAAGTCCTCCAAGCTCCATTCCTCTGGGTAGGCTGAGCACAGGCTGGTTTCCTTCAGGAAGAATAATTCTGACTTTTCTAATTGTTATGCTCCACTGGCATTCCTCACTTTCCATATCTGAATACTGTATAGGTTGATTGTTTTTCTCCTTAAATGTACTTTTTTTTTTTTTTTGAGACGGAGTCTTGCTCTTGTCACCCAGGCTGGAGTGCAGTGCCATGATCTCGGCCCACTGAAACCTCTGCCTCCCGGGTTCAAACAATTCTCCTGCCTCCGCCTCCCGAGTAGCTGGGATTACAGGCACCTGCCACCACACCTGGTTAATTTTTGTATTTTTAGTAGAGATGGGGTTTCACCATGTTGGCCAGGCTGGTCTCAAACTCCCTACCTCGTGATCCACCCACCTTGGCCTCCCAAAGTGCTAGGATTACAGGTGTGAGCTACCGCACCCGGCCTAAATGTACTCTTAACACTGATTCCATCTACTTATTCTGGACCTTGTTTCATGACTCACTGCAAACTATTCACCTTCTTACCTACCCCCCACCATCCCTGATTTATTTCTTTACTCAAATCTTAAACAAGATCCTTGAGATGTTTTTCGTTTGAAGGGTGTTTTTTTTTTTTTTTTTTTGAGACAGAGTCTCGCTCTGTCACCAGGCTGGAGTGCAATGGCAGGATCTCTGCTCACTGCACCTCCGTCTCCCGGGTTCAAGCGATTCTCCTGCCTCAGCCTCCCGAGTAGCTGGAACTACAGGCAAGCACCAGAACGCCCAGCTAATTTCTGTATTTTTAGTAGAGACGGGGTTTCACCATGTTGGCCAGGATGGTCTCGATCTCTTGACCTCGTGATCTGCCCGCCTCAGACTCCCAAAGTACTGGGATTACAGGCGTGAGCCACTGTGCTCGGCTGAAGGGTGTTTTTATGTGGGGCCTCCTTTTGATTTTGTTTTGAACCCTTACTTATTACTGTGGCGAGTTGCATCTCCAGGGCTCCATGCTTTGTTTGGCTGAATTTCTCCCTTCACTACTAAGTAATTGGCTCATAACTGATCATGTTCAAATTTGTCTCCTTATTCACAATGGATTCAGCAGACAGTGAGGGCTACTGGGTTAAAATCCAAAGGATTTTAACATGGAGAGAACCCTAGATGCTATCTAACACAATCTGTTCTCCAACACTGATGTCTTTCTGCCCATACACAGACACTTCTCTTGACAGGAAGCTCACTGCTCTACAAGACAACACTTCCCACTCGTAGACATTCCAATGTTCTACCACGTGTTTCCTAATGGTTAAATTAAATCTAGCTCACTGCAGTTTTCACATTTGTATACTACTTTTTCCCTTTGAGGTGCTATGCAAAAATATTGAATCGGTATTCCCTGACATTCAGTATTTCGAGATATTTTACAATAGATATCCTAAATCTTTGAGGATTACTCTTTCCCAGACCAGTTATCCAACATTCTTTCAACTATTGATCAACTGTCTTGGCTTCTACTTTCCTTACAGTCTCCATAGAGTAACAGCATGCTCATGTCCCTTCTGATCCACATGACCTGGAACCAAATGCAGTGTTCCCCCAGGGTCTGACCAGACCAGAGCATGGTGTAAGGAGATGATTATTTAGTTCTATTCATTAGCCTAAGATTGCATTAGCTTTTAGAATCCTTTCTTTATAGTGACTCATAAGATGTTTTATTCATAATTTTATGAGTTATTTCTGAATCAGGTGTCCTTTACCCTAGAAATATATGGCTAATTTTTGGAATCTAAATGTAAGCCTTCACATTTAGATTTATTAAAATGCATTTTATAAAGCTTGGGCCATCTTTTCAATTTTTAGTTCTTTTTACATTACAGCCGTAACAGTCAGCTTACTTATTCTGCCTCAATTTTCTTTAGCTGTAAGTTTGGTAAGCACTTAACCTCCTTTATCATAATGCAAATTATTAGCAAAAATGTTGAGTCAGGGCCAAGAATACAAACCAAACAATTCCATTGAGGTCGGTATCAATTAAACAACCAGCACTCTTTAGGTCCACCACTTTCCAGGAGCTCTAATTCTCTGGAACACAGAGTACTGCCCACATTTCTTCAGGTAATACACACAGCTAACACTCACATCATAGTTATGATAACAGCTAACATGTATTACACATTGTGAGTCTATTATGTGCTAGACATTTTTCTAAGAGGTTTACATGCATTAGCTCATTTTGTCTTTGCAATAACTCTATGAAATAGGCCATGTTATTATTTTCATTTTTTATATAAAGAAACTAGGACACAGAGCAAATACAATGCTGGATCAGACAATGATGGCATGGGGATTTCAACTCAGCTCTCAAAGACTCCAGTACCAGAACTCCTAACCCCTCCTTGAAATTCTGTCAAATATCATGCTGAAAAGGGAAATTTTTTTATGACTCTCCCGATTAACTAACCTAGTGCTTTCCAAAATTAAAAAAAAAAAAAAGGCACCTGGTTTAATGTGGATTCTAAGTGAAAGTGAATGTGGCTTTTAGTATTTACAATTTCATTCTAAGTCCTCATATGCCACACCTTCTGTTATCCATAGATAGCATTTTACCAGGAGTAGAAGCCACACTCATACCTCTGTAGCCCCAGGATTCACATTTTACCACCTTCATATGCTCCACATGATATGTGCAGTCCAATTACCTTTATGACTTATCGGCAATGATTCAGGGACCATATTATCTACAAGTTCCTTGGCTGCTCTCAGAACTAATAGTCCAATTTAACTATTTAACCCACTAAAGTTGAGTTAATTCACCTTTCTTGGGCCTCAGTTCTCCCTTAACCTTGACAGCTGTGACCCTCAGCTGAAGAACATCCCCAAAAATAATTTACAAAATAAGTTTTTGAGAAAAAACAGAGGGTGAGTATTTTAAATTGCTCACTTACATCTAAATACATTACAGCATCTTCTCCCCTTGGTGAGCCTTTCTCTATCATCCTGCGGACTATAATGAAGAATGCCAGTATCACAAGGTATCCACCTCCCTGTGTGAAATACAGCTTGAGGGAAGATTTTATGAAGGCATATAGCATCCTAGGGCCTTTCAAGGACAGAATATAGTTCTCCCCAAATACCTTCTTGCATCATCCCTACAGGAGAAAACAATGCCTTGTGTAGCACAGGTACCCTGACACAGTTCACACCAAACAGGTTAGAAGTGGCCAAGACTGATGAGCAGAGATACAGAGCCCCAGGGACTCAGGGAGGCTGAGGGTTCACAGTCACAGGCTGATAAAAGAACAGGAGCTAAAGAAAGAATGAAATATGAGAAGATAAGGACCAAAGAGAAGGGAAGAAGAAACGGGGAGAAAAAAAATCCTTTTGGGCCAGAGTAATTAGCATGGGTCATGAGTGTCTTTTAACAGTCAGCTAGTTTACCTTTCCAGCTTCAACTACCAACATTTTCCTTCCATAACCCCAGTGTACAACAACACACAAATGCTGCCCTAGCCGAGGATCGTGTACAGCACGTCATGACTTCATGAGTCCTTGCCTTTGTTCACGAGTAAAGAAGATTAAGTAAGTAGAGTGTTTAGTGCTATATCTAGACTATCATACTTGTGTGGCCTTGTTATTACTTGTTTTTTTTCCCCTCTGTGTTTCAGTGGCACTGAACAGAAGGAAAAACTCAATTGGGTTTTACATACAGATCAGCTTCAAGGCCTTGCAGAAAATGGCTTGGATTGTGAAAATCCAAAAATGACCAAAAATGACCTTGGAATGACTTTGAGCAGTGCTATGGTACATAGAAAAGGCTGAATCAGGCTGCCTGGCTAAAGCTCCTCAACATTTATTTCATGTTTAGTATGTATGACCCAAAAATATGCCTCTATGAGCCATTGGCTATAAATATATATTCTTTTTTAAACCCACACATCTTATCCAGAATGTAATACTCATTGTAGATGTAAGGACTCCTTCCACCGCCACCTCCCCCACCATGCATTTCCACAGAAAATTTTCCAAGAAAATTCATTTAAAAAGTATTCTGTTTTTAAAAGCAAAGTCTTTTGAAAAAGGAACTGATTTGGGGGAATCTAGTCATACGAGTTATATTTTGGGCTTGACCTCTTGAATGTCAATCCATGACACAATGCATAGCTCAGAGTTTAGAGAAAAGAATTAAGGGCCGGGTGCGGTGGCTCACGCCTATAATCCCAGCGCTTCCGGAGGCCAAGGCAGGCGGATCATCTGAGGTCAGGAGTTTGAGACCAACCTGGCCAATACAGCGAAACCCCATCTTTATTAAAAATACAATAAATAAATAAATAAATAAATAAATTAGCCAGGTATGGTGGTGAGTGCCTGTAATCTCAGCTACTGGGGAGGCTGAGGCAGGAGAGTCGCTTGAACCAGGGAGGCAGAGGTTGCAGTGAGCCGAGATTGTGCCATTGCGCTCCAGCCTGAGCAACAAGAGCAAAACTCCGACTCAAAAAAAAAAAAAAAAAAAAAAAAGAATTGAGAAGAATGTTGTCCACATACTACTACTAAACCAACGGAAGTCATTTTTATCTCTAGGTACTTCAGGAAAAGTTGAATCCAAAAGAAACGAGGAAGAGGAATGTTGAATGTTTCTCCTGGCTACTTCTCTCATGGCTCTCAGCATCCTGGCCTGGTGGGGGCAAAATCACATGGCAATCTTTTTGAGATGGAGAACATGGGAATAGCCCTTTCTCAGACTGTGCTTGCAATCTATAAATTCCGGCCAAGCCAGATTTCATTCTCTCTCCAAAACTGTTGCCAGGCACTAACACCAATAGAATTGTGCTGTGTAGGCTTTTTAAAGAAATCAGTGACAAACCACTTTTATTAGCCAAACAAGTTCAACTACCAGAAATATTTTGTGTGAAACATACAAAGAACTGAAATTGTCTTGCATGGTGTTTACAGGTCAGCCTTTTTTATGCACCAAGGTGGAATATGATTAATGAAACACAAGTTTTCACAATACGTGGCATTTTTCCTCGTGCTTCCTGTGTGAATTGCGAATGCTAAAGACCAGCCATGGGGAACCTGCAGCCAAAACAGAATTCAGGGCCATTCTCTCTGACATTGTGGAGTTACTCAGGGAACAGCAAGATGAAGCTTCCAGGCTTTTTCAGTGTCTAGGAGAAAATATTTAGAAGTAGATTATGCTTGGGGAAAGTTTTGTTAGTTTCAAAATCAGGAAAGAGTCATGGTACAATTAGGACTGAAGCAAAGAAATCTCATCTGAGATCCCTAAAGGGTGAAGCCGCATTTTCAGATTCACTGATCAGAATGGGAAACTGCTTTAGAAACATAGGGTTTGTGAGGAATTGTACAAGATTATCTCCCTTTCTTTTATTCATCAAGTCCCTACCAGCTAGAGGTGCCTGGAAAATTTGGCTAAGCTAATAAAAATGACTGACTGTACTAGGCAGGTTTCCATATGTGGAAATTCCAGATTGTGTGCAATATTGAATCAATATTAGTAGACAAGTCCATAGATCTTTAGAAAGAAGCCCCTTCATGTCTAAATAGAAGTAAAAACAGGGTCAGAGTGACTGGATGTTGTTTCTTGACAAGGGATAGAGGACTCACGCCTTCTTGTTCTCCTCCATGTGCTAAGGAACTTGAATTCAAAAATTTAAACTTTCCCTGAGGTTCTCATGAAGAAAAGCTAGTAAGCATCTCAAATCAAAAATGTTTAAAGCTAACTTCATCAATTTCCCTACCAATCCCGCTCCTCTTCCTGTGCCCTCTGCCTCAGTAAAGCAATCCAGTTTATACAAGCTAGAAACCTGTTTCTTCCTTACTCATCATATCCAATGCTCACCAAGTCCTATTCCTTCTACTTCCCAAACATCTCTTCAAACTATCCATACCCTTCCTTTCCATTGCCACTATCCTAGATTAAATTAAAATCTTCTGGTCTCCTTGCTTCTTGTGATGTCCTTTCCCTGCTTCACTCTCAATTCATAGTTCTTTCCTTGTCATAATGTGACTATCTGAAAAGAATTCCTTACTGCTTGTCAACACAGGTCTGGGAAATCCAGAAACTAAAATCAGATCTTGATGCTGTAATATGCTAAATTAGGCTGTAATTCCAATCAAAATAACAACCTGACTAGGTCTTTGTTGTAAACGTTAAGGCGCTGGCTGGAAAAGTGAGGCATCCTTGCAGTTGCAATAAGACTGGCTATCTGTGAAGGTTCAGAAGACTTAAAGAACCCATATTTAAATGCTTCTTATTTTACAGTTTCCTTTAAGACCTTCTCATTATTGCTAATTATTCTTGCATTGGACCTCAATGTGGTCCAAAGGGTAAAATGTGGCACCTGAATTAGAAAGAGAGAGTTATTTTCAGACAGAAGGACAGGCATTTCCTAATTTATATTTTTAAAAATGTAAAGAAAATGTATGTCATACATTTTGAAGATGTTGGCCCCAAGAAGGCAGAATATAATCTTTGGTTGGAGGGCAATCACCATTGATGCAGGTGCCATGGAGTCCGCATGCTGTGTGCTGGCCTAGACAGCTGGCTAGAGTCCAAACTGGTTGCTTGGTAGCTGATTCAAACTGAGATCAAACAAAGGATCACACCACGTGACATCAAAAGGGCAGAAGATCCATGTTTTATGTAGAGAGGGGCCTTAAAGGATTTTGAGAACAGTAAACTGGATTAGAACGTTCAACCCACTTTTTTTGTTTTTGAGACGCAGTCTTGCTCTGTCACCCAGGCTGGAGTTCAATGGCACAATCTCGGCTTACTGCAACAACCCACTTTTTTACCCGTCCCTCAGGAAGGCCCAAAAGTTGACCTCCTTCTTTATCTTAAGGAATAGAATGGGGAGGGAAGCAACTCAATCTTTAAAATGCATTCAATAACTGGGCTTAGTACACTGCAAGTGTTGATTATAGAGGATCCAAATAAAATGGAGAAAACCAAAAGCAGGAAGCAAAGGGGGTATAATTGTAATAATAGGTGGAGCTCCTAATTTGGAAATCTGATGTTGGAGAATGATCTGACCTGCAGAATAGACCTGTGGCGATTTAATATTGGGTATGTTGGCATTAAGCGGATAGTTTTTTGTGTTAGGTAGAACCTACACCTGAATCTTGACTCAAGCACCCCATAGAGAGTCATGGCCTCTCTAGGCACCAGATACACTCAGTTCTCAGGCACACAGCAGCTTGTAAGAAAGAAATACAGGGTACCTGTGGAGAACCTCCTTCTTTTACCACCATCTGTTGTAATATGAACTTCATGCCTGCCCTTAACCAAGGTGAAAAGAAAATCCTGTAAGTTATGACTTCTTTTTTATATTATTATTATTATACTTTAAGTTTTAGGGTACATGTGCACAATGTGCAGGTTAGTTACACATGTATACATGTGCCATGCTGGTGTGCTGCACCCATTAACTCCTCATTTAGCATTAGGTATATCTCCTAATGCTATCCCTCCCCCCTCCCCCGAACCCACAACAGTCCCCAGAGTGTGATGTTCCCCTTCCTGTGTCCATGTGTTCTCATTGTTCAATTCCCACCTATGAGTGAGAACATGTGGTGCTTGGTTTTTTTTCTTGCAATAGTTTACTGAGAATGATGATTTCCAATTTCATCCATGTCCCTACAAAGGACATGAACTCATCATTTTTTATGGCTGCATAGTATTCCATGGTGTATATGTGCCACATTTTCTTAATCCAGTCTATCATCATTGGACATTTGGGTTGGTTCCAAGTCTTTGCTATTGTGAATAATGACTCCATAAACATACGTGTGCATGTGTCTTTATAGCAGCATGATTTATAGTCCTTTGGGTATATACCCAGTAATGGGATGGCTGGGTCAAATGGTATTTCTAGTTCTAGATCCCTGAGGAATTGCCACACTGACTTCCACAATGGTTGAACTAGTTTACAGTCCCACCAACAGTGTAAAAGTGTTCCTATTTCTCCACATCCTCTCCAGCACCTGTGGTTTCCTGACTTTTGAATGATTGCCATTCTAACTGGTGTGAGATGGTATCTCATTGTGGTTTTGATTTGCGTTTTTCTGATGGCCAGTGATGGTGAGCATTTTTTCATGTGTTTTTTGGCTGCATAAATGTCTTCTTTTGAGCAGTGTCTGTTCATGTCCTTTGCCCACTTTTTGATGGGGTTGTTTGTTTTTTTCTTGTAAATGTGTTTGAGTTCATTGTAGATTCTGGATATTAGCCCTTTGTCAGATGAGTAGGTTGCGAAAATTTTCTCCCATTTTGTAGGTTGCCTGTTCACTGTGATGGTAGTTTCTTTTGCTGTGCAGAAGCTCTTTAGTTTAATTAGATCCCATTTGTCAATTTTGGCTTTTGTTGCCATTGCTTTTGGTGTTTTAGACATGAAGTCCTTGCCCATGCCTACGTCCTGAATGGTAATGCCTAGGTTTTCTTCTAGGGTTTTTATGGTTTTAGGTCTAGCATTTAAGTCTTTAATCCATCTTGAATTACTTTTTGTATAAGATGTAAGGAAGGGATCCAGTTTCAGCTTTCTACATATGGCTAGCCAGTTTTCTCAGCACCATTTATTAAATAGGGAATCCTTTCCCCATTGCTTGTTTTTCTCAGGTTTGTCAAAGATCAGATAGTTGTAGATATGCGGCGTTATTTCTGAGGGCTCTGTTCTGTTCCATTGATCTATATCTCTGTTTTGGTAGCAGTACCATGCTGTTTTGGTTACTGTAGCCTTGTAGTATAATTTGAAGTCAGGTAGCGTGATGCCTCCAGCTTTGTTCTTTTGGCTTAGGATTGACTTGGTGATGCGGGCTCTTTTTTGGTTCCATATGAACTTTAAAGTAGTTTTTTCCAATTCTGTGAAGAAAGTCGTTGGTAGCTTGATGGGGATGGCATTGAATCTATAAATTACCTTGGGCAGTATGGCCATTTTCACGATATTGATTCTTCCTACCCATGAGCATGGAATGTTCTTCCATTTCCTTGTATCCTCTTTTATTTCCTTGAGCAGTGGTTTGTAGTTCTCCTTGAAGAGGTCCTTCACGTCCCTTGTAAGTTGGATTCCTAGGTATTTTATTCTCTTTGAAGCAATTGTGAATGGGAGTTCACTCATGATTTGGCTCTCTGTTTGTCTGTTATTGGTGTATAAGAATGCTTGTGATTTTTGTACATTGATTTTGTATCCTGAGACTTTGCTGAAGTTGCTTATCAGCTTAAGGAGATTTTGGGCTGAGACAATGGGGTTTTCTAGATATACAGTCATGTCATCTGCAAACAGGGACAATTTGACTTCCTCTTTTCCTAATTGAATACCGTTTATTTCCTTCTCCTGCCTAATTGCCCTGGCCAGAACTTCCAACACTATGTTGAATAGGAGTGGTGAAAGAGGGCATCCTTGTCTTGTGCCAGTTTTCAAAGGGAATGCTTCCAGTTTTTGCCCATTCAGTATGATATTGGCTGTGGGTTTGTCACAGATAGCTCTTATTATTTTGAGATACATCCCATCAATACCTAATTTATTGAGAGTTTTTAGCATGAAGTAATGTTGAATTTTGTCAAAGGCCTTTTCTGCCTCTATTGAGATAATCATATGGTTTTTGTCTTTGGTTCTGTTTATATGCCGGATTACATTTATTGATTTGCGTATATTGAACCAGCCTTGCATCCCAGGGATGAAGCCCACTTGATCATGGTGGATAAGCTTTTTGATGTGCTGCTGGATTCGGTTTGCCAGTATTTTATTGAGGATTTTTGCATCAATGTTCATCAAGGATATTGGTCTAAAAATTCTCTTTTTTGGTTGTGTCTCTCCCCGGCTTTGGTATCAGGATGATGCTGGCCTCATAAAATGAGTTAGGGAGGATTCCCTCTTTTTCTGTTGACTGGAATAGTTTCAGAAGGAATGGTACCAGTTCCTCCTCATACCTCTGGAAGAATTTGGCTGTGAATCCATCTGGTCCTGGACTCTTTTTGGTTGGTAAGCTATTGATTATTGCGACAATTTCAGAGCCTGTTATTGGTCTATTCAGAGACTCAACTTCTTCCTGGTTTAGTCTTGGGAGGGTGTATGTGTCGAGGAATTCATCCATTTCTTCTAGATTTTCTAGTTTATTTGCATAGAGGTGTTTGTAGTATTCTCTGATGGTAGTTTGTATTTCTGTGGGATCGGTGGTGATATCCCCTTTATCATTTTTTATTGTGTCTATTTGATTCTTCTCTCTTTTCTTCTTTATTAGTCTTGCTAGCGGTCTATCGATTTTGTTGATCCTTTCAAAAAACCAGGTCACGAATCCATTGATTTTTTGAAGGGTTTTTTGTGTCTCTATTTCCTCCAGTTCTGCTCTGATTTTAGTTATTTCTTGCCTTCTGCTAGCTTTTGAATGTGTTTGCTCTTGCTTTTCTAGTTCTTTTAATTGTGATGTTAGGGTTTCAATTTTGGATCTTTCCTGCTTTCTCTTGTGGGCATTTAGTGCTATAAATTTCCCTCTACACACTGCTTTGAATGTGTCCCAGAGATTCTGGTATGTTGTGTCTTTGTTCTCGTTGGTTTCAAAGAACATCTTTATTTCTGCCTTCATTTCGTTATGTACCCAGTAGTCATTCAGGAGCAGGTTGTTCAGTTTCCATGTAGTTGAGCGGTTTTGAGTGAGTTTCTTAATCCTGAGTTCTAGTTTGATTGCACTGTGGTCTGAGAGACAGTTTGTTATAATTTCTGTTCTTTTACATTTGCTGAGGAGAGCTTTACTTCCAACTATGTGGTCAATTTTGGAATAGGTGTGCTGTGGTGCTGAAAAAAATGTATATTCTGTTGATGTGGGGTGGAGAGTTCTGTAGATGTCTATTAGGTCGGCTTGGTGCAGAGCTGAGTTCAATTCCTGGGTATCCTTGTTAACTTTCTGTCTCGTTGATCTGTCTAATGTTGACAGTGGGGTGTTAAAGTCTCCCATTATTATTGTGTGGGAGTCTAAGTCTCTCTGTAGGTCACTCAGGACTTGCTTTATGAATCTGGGTGCTCCTGTATTGGGTGCATATATATTTAGGATAGTTAGCTCTTCTTGTTGAATTGATCCCTTTACCATTATGTAATGGCCTTCTTTGTCTCTTTTGATCTTTGCTGGTTTAAAGTCCGTTTTATCAGAGACTAGGATTGCAACCCCTGCCTTTTTTTGTTTTCTATTTGCTTGGTAGATCTTCCTCCATCCTTTTATTTTGAGCCTATGTGTGTCTCTGCATGTGGGATGGGTTTCCTGAATACAGCACACTGATGGCTCTTGACTCTTTATCCAATTTGCCAGTCTGTGTCTTTTAATTGGAGCATTTAGTCTATTTACATTTAAAGTTAATATTGTCATGTGTGAATTTGATCCTGTCATTATGATGTTAGCTGGTTATTTTGCTCGTTAGTTGATGCAGTTTCTTCCTAGCCTCAATGGTCTTTACAATTTGGCATGATTTTGCAGTGGCTGGTACTGGTTTTTCCTTTCCATGTTTAGTGCTTCCTTCATGAGCTCTTTTAGGGCAGGCCTGGTGGTGACAAAATCTCTCAGCATTTGTTTGTCTGTAAAGGATTTTATTTCTCCTTCACTTATGAAGCTTCGTTTGGCTGGATATGAAATTCTGGGTTGAAAATTCTTTTCTTTAAGAATGTTGAATATTGGCCCCCACTCTCTTCTGGCTTGTAGAGTTTCTGCCGAGAGATCCGCTGTTAGTCTGATGGGCTTCCCTTTGTGGGTAACCCGACCTTTCTCTCTGGCTGCCCTTAACATTTTTTCCTTCATTTCAACTTTGGTGAATCTGACAATTTTGTGTCTTGGAGTTGCTCTTCTCGAGGAGTATCTTTGTGGCGTTCTGTGTATTTCCTGAATCTGAATGTTGGCCTGCCTTGCTAGATTGGGGAAGTTCTCCTGGATAATATCTTGCAGAGTGTTTTCCAACTTGGTTCCATTCTCCCCATCACTTTCAGGTACACCAATCAGATGTAGATTTCGTCTTTTCACATAGTCCCATATTTCTTGGAGGCTTTGTTTGTTTCTTTTTATTCTTTTTTCTCTAAACTTCCCTTCTCACTTCATTTCATTCATTTCATCTTCCATCACTGATACCCTTTCTTCCAGTTGATCGCATCGGCTCCTGAGGCTTCTGCATTCTGCACGTAGTTCTCGAGCCTTGGCTTTCAGCTCCATCAGCTCCTTTAAGCACTTCTCTGTATTGGTTATTCTAGTTATACATTTGTCTAAATTTTTTTCAAAGTTTTTGACTTCTTTGCCTTTGGTTTGAATTTCCTCCTGTAGCTCGGAGTACTTTGATCGTCTGAAGCCTTCTTCTCTCAACTTGTCAAAGTCATTCTCCGTCCAGCTTTGTTCCGTTGCTGGTGAGGAACTGCGTTCCTTTGGAGGAGGAGAGGCGCTCTGCTTTTTAGAGTTTCCAGTTTTTCTGCTCTGTTTTTTCCCCATCTTTGTGGTTTTATCTACTTTTGGTCTTTGATGATGGTGATGTACAGATGGGTTTTTGGTGTGGATGTCCTTTCTGTTTGTTAGTTTTCCTTCTAACAGAAAGGACCCTCAGCTGCAGGTCTGTTGGAGTTTGCTAGAGGTCCACTCCAGACCCTGTTTGCCTGGGTACCAGCAGCGGTGGCTGCAGAACAGCGGATTTTCGTGAACCGCGAATGCTGCTGTCTGATCGTTCCTCTGGAAGTTTTGTCTCAGAGGAATACCCGGCCGTGTGAGGTGTCAGTCTGCCCCTACTGGGGGGTGCCTCCCAGTTAGGCTGCTCGGGAGTCAGGGGTCAGGGACCCACTTGAGGAGGCAGTCTGCCCGTTCTCAGATCTCCAGCTGCATGCTGGGAGAACCACTGCTCTCTTCAAAGCTGTCAGACAGGGACATTTAAGTCTGCAGAGGTTACTGCTGTCTTTTTGTTTGTCTGTGCCCTGCCCCCAGAGATGGAGCCTATAGAGGCAGGCAGGCCTCCTTGAGCTGTGGTGGGTTCCACCCAGTTGAAGCTCCCTGGCTGCTTTGTTTACCTCAGCAAGCCTGGGCAATGGCAGGCGCCCCTGCCCCAGCCTGGCTGCCACTTTGCAGTTTGATCTCAGACTGCTGTGCTAGCAATCAGTGAGACTCCGTGGGCGTAGGACCCTCTGAGCCAGGTGCGGGATATAATCTCCTGGTGCGCCGTTTTTTAATCCCGTTGGAAAAGCATAGTATTAGGGTGGGAGTGGCCCAATTTTCCAGGTGCCGTCTGTCACCCCTTTGTTTGACTAGGAAAGGGAACTCCCTGACCCCTTGCACTTCCCGAGTGAGGCAATGCCTTGCCCTGTTTCGGCTCGCGCACGGTGCGCTGCACCCACTGTCCTGCACCCACTGTCTGGCACTCCCTAGTGAGATGAACCCAGTACCTCAGATGGAAATGCAGAAATCACCCGTCTTCTGCGTCGCTCACACTGGGAGCTGTAGACCGGAGCTCTTCCTATTCGGCCATGTTGGCTGCCATTCCTGATTTCTTTTAGATACTGCCTCTGAGGTAACACTAAGACCTGGGTCCCAGAATAAAATTTGTCATGGGTCCACTCATCAGACTCTCTTTTGTTAACTTTCTGATCTCCCATGCTTTTGTAGTGGGTGTAGTGAAACTCAAACACATCTTGTGATCCTTCCCCCAATTTCCCCATGTATAAATGAAATGGATATCCTCAAAGACTATCAGAATATCCACAATGGCCCTTAGCTTTTGAAGTAATGGCCTCGTGGACTTCATTGGTTTAACTCTTCTCTATCCAAAGATTATATAAATCAATACCACTTCCTGAGGAAATAGATGAGATTGGTGCAATTAAACAGTCTCTAAATGAAGAGGCATGATGACGCCTATTGGCTCATCATTGAATTGCTTCATTTGGCTTGGCTTAAAGGTGATATAGGAAGGCACTAGGTGAAAGAAGAGTGCTGTAGATGGGAAGTCTTTTTTGGGGTTACCGTGAAACACTGTGGAGTATGGAATAATCTTAATTTTTCTCTCCCTTTTCCTAGAGGAACAGGTTCAACATGAGCTCCTTGATTTCCTGGGATATGACTATTGATTTGGTTCCATGGTCAAGAATTTGAAAAGAGATGCATTTGAGTTTGTGATATGAAATTTTGAGAAAAGGTTATGTGAATGAACTCTGAGAATGGGCCCACACCCCCTGCAGAGGAATGTCTGTTAAGGATAGAAGGGCCAGGTGTTAACGTCTGACCTCCTTTTTCTTTACAGTGGGTATAGTAAGACTCAAACACATTTTGTGGTCATTGTCCCACAAGATGTGGATTGGACAGTCACTTGATGGATATCAGTCATCCTCCCTTTCCAGGCAGCCTAGTGCTCTCTTAATGAATTCACAAGGAGGGAGGCCATGGTGGGCCTGCTGCATATAGATCCCATCACCAAGGTGGATTAGGCTATTTCTACAGTAATGTGCTCAATTTGATACTAGTAAAATGATTGAGAGCTCACACTATAGTTCAAGGAAACCAGCCAGAAACCACCCAGTGACAGGTCCATTTTCCTGAACCTCTAAATTGCAATAATTTGTCCTTGTTAAAATAAAGATTTATTATGATGTTTTTTCCTTCCTTGTCATAATTCTGTCAGCACCATTAACCATGTAGTTATTAAATTTCCTATGGAGCCATGTGACACAGTTCAGACCAATGAGATGACACCAGAAGTCTGTTGGGATTCTAGGGAAAAGTTTTTGCTCTCCTGATCCCATCCTCTTCCTCCCTCCCTCAACCTTCTTGCTAGTTGGAACACGGACATGATGGCTGGTGTTTCAGCAGATATGCTGTAACCATGAGGCCACAGTCATGAGGATGAAGGCATAATTGCTAAGGATGGTGGCCCATAAACATGGAAATGTTCCTGATGTCATCACGAAAGCCATCTGTCATCAGACTCCTGTTGAATGAGTCACATAAACCTTTTTATCATTCAAGCCACAGTCACTCACAGCTAACTACATTCTTAGTTAACTGCATTCTTAGCTTTTTTACTGTTCAGAGGAATTTCCTAATTGTCATAGACAAGAGTTAAATGGTACCAGTTAAGAGACAATTTTTGTCAAATTGGGTTTTGTTTTGTGAGGTTTATTGTCTACTCTGGACCAAAGCTGAATAGCTGCTGCTTTTTTTCTCTCTCTCTTAAGCAAAATACACGGGTAGGGGAACCATTGGTCAATCTGGGAATTTTACCTCTATCTTACAGTGACTCACTCTCAATATTCTTATCTCAGGTTTTCAACTTGTGCTGCTATTTTGAGGTTTTAGTCATCCAGAGAGAGTCTCCCACCAAAGAAAAATCAATGGCTTCACTGAATTGAAAGCTGAGACAAAACACTTGGTCATTTCAAATTGTTCAAGCCACTATGAAAACAGCCAAAAACTACCTAGAAGACTGGTGGACTTAACTACACTTCCAGGCCTAGTGATGAAGGCAAATGGAAGACCACTGGCACCCAGGCAGGCAGGATCACTGAAGATTCAGGCCCATGAAGAACTGAGAGAAGGGTCATTGCACCAATAAAGTGCTTTGACCCACTGAGGTCCTGATAAGAGGCAAAGGGAAACTGGAATCAATGAGGAAAGGGAAAAGTCATAAATACAGTTCTGATCAGCTCTAGAAATGAGAACTGAAGTCTCTAATTGCATTTTTTTGTTTTCTATGTTAATGTTATTGGAAGACATTTTTGGTATTTTATTCTTTTGCTTTACTCCCATCCTATTGTATATAATGTTATCAGTAGCCAAATGTAACTATTATTCTGTATGAAATAACAATATTATCTCAGGATATATCTAGAGGGGAATGCAATATGACCTTTGCTCCTATGAGCATCTGATAATGTCAAGGAGATAAAACTAACATAATGAAAAAGAATAAAAACAATAAAAATTTTCAAGGGTGCAGTGTGCATGCTGGTGAAATAACTGCTTCCAGGAGAGATTACTGAAGATCAGAAAACTCTAGAAAGGGGCTATCAGCAAGGGCAACAACCTGAGCTTGATGAAGGGATTATATTGGTATGGACAGAATGAAGCTGAAAAGTATGCCATGCTGGGGAAAGAAGAGATACTGCAAGAAGCTACATGCAGGAAGAGGTGAGGAGAAAGCATCAGTGATTATGCATAGAAACAAACTTTTTTTGTTGTTTTTTGTTTTATTTCTTCTAAAAAATAAAAGGGGGGATACACGTGCAGAACATGCAGGTTTGTTACATGGGTGTACGTGTGCCATGGTGGTTTGCTGCACCTACTGACCCATCCTCTAAGCTCCCTCCACTCACCCCCCATCCCCCAACAGGCCCTGGTGTGTGCTGTTCCCCTCTCTGTGCCCATGAGTTCTCAATATTCAATTTCTACTTATGAGTGAGAACACGTGATGTTTGGTTTTCTGTTCCTGTGCTAGTTTGCTGAGGATAATGGCTTCCAGTTTCACCCATGTCCCTGCAAAGGACATGATCTCATTCCTTTTTATGGCTGCATAGCATTCCATGGGGTATATGTACCACATTTTCTTTATCCAGTCTACCATCGATGGGCATTTGGGTTGGTTCCAAGTCTTTGCTATTGTAAATAGTGTTTCAATAAACATACGTGTTCATGTGTCTTTCTAGTAGAATGATTTATATTCCTTTGGGTATATACCCAGTAATGAGATTGCTGGGTCACATGGTATTTCTGGTTCTAGATCCTTGAGGAATTGCCACACTGTCTTCCACAATGGTTGAACTAATTTACATTCCCACCAAAAGTGTAAAAGCAGAACCAAACTTTTATTTGGCAATTTTCCATCTGGAGACAGACTAAACTCTAAGACCCAGAATGCCCCGTATCCTCTCTTTGTGCAGAAAGTATGTTTGCAAAGTCATCGTGTTCTCTGATACATAAAAACTTTAAAAATATTTTTAAATGCAATCTTTTCCACATTTTAATAACACATAATCTATTTTTAAATCCTTTAGATTTCTAAGGGAAATGTCTATCACTCTCAGCTGCTATTACTTTTTCATGAAGAGGAGGTTTTATTCAAACCTGATAAAAATGCAAAAGAACAGACAATAATGTTCTGCTTTCCATTGCATTTTCTTTCATCCAAACTTCTTAAAGCACTTTGAAGTTAGTAGTTATATCTCTAAATGGCTGTAATGTAATATAACTGTACCATCATTTCTTTTTTTAACTAATGAGAATAAATCACAGAGCAATGTAACTATTGACTCAAGTAAATGAGGTCCCAGGATTCAGGCTAAGAACTGCCACATCACTCTACAAACCAAGACATGAAAAGGGAAAAAAACAAAAGATATAGGTCTTGCAGGTAAAAAGAGGCAGATGCTCTTCTCTTTCTTAGAACATACAAGATCTGCTTAACATTCAGTATTTTCCTTATCTGTGATATAGGCATAGTAACTATGAATGACTGTGGGATCTGTGTACATCATTTAGATACCTTGAGAGCAGAAAAGGAATCTACTATTTTTCATTCTTTTTTTCTGACAAGCATTTCTACCAATAAGACAAATTTTGGCAAGATTTACTTTCCCAAATAAAAAGGAAATGAGCTGCATTTGCCTGCGCTAGAAATGCAAATTGTCTCTTTCGCCATTACTTCTATCTGTAATTTTAAACCAGCTCATACCCTTTAATTTTCAGGAGTATTGATAGGGGATGTAAAACCCCAGCTCCTCTGTAGAAAGGCTTCATTCGCAACTAGAGTTCCAGAGTATTTTAATTCAAGTTTTTTTACAGTGCTTTCTTGGATTTTCAGAACAGAGCTTTATAGTTGACAGCAGGCAGCAGGGGGATAAACTTTAAGTTATAGTAGCCATTTTCTCCCAGCAAATACAGTGTTAAATTTTGAGTAAACGAGGTCTTTTAAAAATAAAGAACTCTGCAAAAATGACCACTTAGTTAAGGGCATTCAAATCCCTTGATGCCTTGGCTAATTCACCTGCCTCTTTTTTTGACCTAAAATAAGCCATCTAATCCAAAACATGAGATTTTTTTCCTGGCCAAAGAAGCCACAATTTGTCACTCAAGTCATTTAGTGCCACATATTGCCATTAGTCACCCTAATGTAGTGCAAAGTCATGGTTATGACATTTAGGGTTTCTGGGTAGCCAATTTTAATGAGGAATAAATAATTTCTCCTGTTCAACTAATACCTTTTGGTGTAGAAAGGTAATCGAAATGTCACTGCTTCATCTCTTTATTGAAAAAAAGAATAATGAGCAACATCTGCTTTGAATTCCTGGCAAAAAAGGCTTGAGGTCTCTTCTAATCACAGAATGATATATTTAAGAGCTGGGAGAGTATTCAGAGGCCTGTGTACATCCAATAGGTGTACTGTCACTAGAAAAAAAAAAAAAAACAGGAGGCTCTAGGAATAAAATCTGGGCCATCATAACTGCATACATGTGTACACACTTTGGGTCAAAAAGGTAGAAATGCATCTAGAGTAGGAAACAGCACATAATACATTTGTTTATTACCTCTCTTTAATAAACAGTGGCAATAACAGGAACTTTTATGGACAGGTTTTGTTCCTTCCAGCTTTAGCTTTGTCCACAGAGCTGGTGGGAACCCCTGCAGGACACTCCTAAATGGATAAATTTACAATCTGGCCCCTGTAAAGTGCTCCAAGCCACATCTCATCCAAGTTGCCTTTGTGCTTTTCTCACCACCTGTGATGCCAGGGGGCACAGGGTCAGAGCCAGAGTCACCCCCAACTCACACATGCACCAGCTCACTTCCAGAGGATTCAACCTTTTCCCATTTATCTGAAGGCTGAAGGCTTCTTTAGATTTCCTGGCTTCCTGCTTTGCTGAGATGTCTGGATATTTATCTATTTTTCTCCTTTTGGAAACATCTGCCCAGATTTCTCCAGATTCAGCAACAGAAAAATAAACTCAGTTAGAAAATGAAGTAACATAACATGATCCCCTTGGGGCCCTCAACATCTGCTTTTCTCTGTTGTGTTTTTAATTTGGTCATTCCTCTGCAAAAACGTGCAATGGACCAGTGTTTCAAGTAAACAAATAAAGGTAGGGCCTTCTTTTAAATGCCTAGTAATCTACCATAATATCCAGCCCTCTTTAGGAAAAACAAGTAATAAATGTGTATTGCAAGCTTTTTTCTCTCCTCTTTACTTTGGGTTCCATTATTCATTAAGAATTTGAAGTAGTCAGGCTTATCTAGGTTAGGTCGCAATAAAGAAAAAAAATTAACCCTAAATCTCACTGGCTAAAACAGTAAGTTTACTTTTTATTTTTCTATTTTTAACATCACACTTGTGGTTCAGATAGCCACCCTAGCTGGCTCCCCAGAATACTCCAGAATTCCGCCTTACTCCTCTACTATAAAGAAGTCCCCATAATACTTCCATTGCTGGGGAGATATAGGGACGGTCTTCACTGCCACCGGATCCATACCGAATCTTGTCTTAGGAAGTGACGGCTAAACAAAGAGCTTTCTTTATAAAGCCATCAATTGAAAAAAAAATTAAAAAACTAATTTATCTTTCATAATAACTAAGTTTCGAAAGTAATTAGGGAAGGAATGGCAGAAGGAGTCACTGATTGCCTCATTGAGAGTACTTTTTATTATCAGATTATCTGTGAATTTATCATAGAATCTTTTATTTGTGTAAGGCCAGCGAGATACACTGACCACTCATTTGTGCTACGTTTCAATTGGGGTCCTGCTGGTTTTTATTTTATTTTTTTCTGACAGGGTATTTTTCTCATATTGGTATAATCATATATATGAAAAATATAATTATATATATTTAGTAAGTATAGTACTGTATCAAATATACACACAGACACACACATATGTATATATACACATACACATATGTGAATATGCTATTCTGAAATTAACCAATAAGAGAAAACACTGACCCCGTCTATGTATTGCATTTTTCTTTGGTGTCTGCTGGGTTTTATTTTGCTTTTTTCTGATAGGATGTTTTTCTTTTATTGGTGTATTGATATGTGTGTGTGTTTGTGTGTGTGTGTGATATAACTGTATATAAAATATATTTATTGGTATATTCCTTTATATATAATTATATAAATAATGATGTTATAATTATGTAAAGGAATTATATATGTTTTATAGTATATATAATTACAATTTTTAACATGAGGAAAATGAAGCATTTCTCTAGCTTTCCATAGTTTCTCTTAACTTTTATTTCTATTTTTATGTATTTCTTTTGTGCATGTGTATATTTAAATTGTTTCTTTTTTAATTAACAAATAGAAATTGTATATATTTATGGTTTACAACATTTTGAAATAGGTATACATTATAAAATGGCTAAATAGTGCCCTACACTATCAATACTGACATCTTTACACCTGAGTACAGCCCACCCTGAAAGAAGAAGACCCCAACATAAGTATGAGTGTAATTTCAGCCCCTAAATCCACTTGTCTAGAAAGTTTCCAGAAGGAGATGGGCTATCCCATCACAAAATAGTAATCAGGATTACACTGAGTGCGTGGAGGAAGCTTGAATAAATGCAGGACAGAGCACTCTTCCATTTAATGGACTGAGGCGAGCATAAAAGTTTGGTCCAAGCCAGTGTAGATGGGCTTTATTCTTTAACAATTGTAACTTATCCATACTTTTGAGTTGACCTTACCATTGTTGGCATGGGTTTCCAACAGGTCTTAACAGAAGAATTTTACAATTGCTTGGCTTCAGTGAATGTTAACAGGAGAAAACAGGTGAGCAGGCAGGTGACTGGAATTCTGAGCCAAAGGTACCAGAAGTTTACATTGTACAGAGAACCCATCCTATTAGCAGACTCAGCTGCCAAACTTTAAAGTGATTGTCATCACATGAAACAACACTGAAAACTCTATACATAGCCCATAGAGACTAGCAGTATAACATCTATATTTAGGTGACCCAGATGGTCAAAGTTGTCCAACATTCGGAGGACACCATCTTAATTTTTATTTTGCAACTCTTCATACATACAACAACATCCAATATACAACTCAACATGGTTGACCTTTACACCCTTCTCCCTCACATTCATGCTTCTTTATAAATTAGTCAAGATAAAGGACAAGACACCCCGTCAGTTTGATATGGGTTGGTAATATACTTATAGAAATGTATTGTTAGACTCTTAAGGGTAGAGATTTCAAAGACGTAACTTTCACCAACAACAGATGGGAATAGAGCCTTGTCTCCAAAGAGCCAGTGCTAGCAAGGACCCAGTCCACTCACAGAGAAGGCCTGCATACACCTCTTTGTTCTTTCCAGTGTTTCTTGCACGCTGTCTACAGAATAGCAAGATTTATTTCATCCTTCTGTTCTATCATTTGGAAACCAGCGTGTTGACCAGATGGTCTTCCCAACCTGGGAAAGTTCTGGTTCTGGCAGAATAGGCTAGCTCTGCTCATCAGGGAAAACATGATCTCTATTTCTCTATTTCCCCTGAATCTATGGGGTAAACTTTATGTTGACCTTTTCTTGTATTGATAAGATATGAAATTCAGATTTGGCTTTGTGCTGGAAATGTATTTGAAAGCCATTTGAACCAATCTCATGCAATCTTTCATAAGGTATATGTAGCTCATGAGAGTTTTTCATTCAAGTTGTGGCAAAGGTCACAGCAAATAGCAAAATGTCAACTTGCCTTGCTTTGTTATCCATTTGTGTGTGTGTTTGTGTGTGTGTGTATGTGCGTGTGCACGCGTGCATTTGTGAAGTTGATTAATAGAGAGCAGAGTACATAATCCTCTAGCCAAATATCACACAAATATTAGTATATTTACAATTTTCATGACCTGTGCTTGACTTCATCTATACAAGCCACCTCCACTCTATTTATCTCATATATCTTCCACATCCACAGATTGCCCAATTATCTGATTTCCAAGCTAGTTTACAAGGTCATGTTCCAGTTTTGAAATTTACAACCAGACCCATATTTCCACAGCCCATTAACTACCAACAAAGGATTAGATGGAATGCATAAGGTTAAAGGGAGACTACTTGTGCTGCGATTGATCTCACAGAAAAGAAGGAGTCCCACTACGGCTAAGAGTCCCACTCAAGTGTATCTTAGGGCAGGTTTCCAAATAATAAAAAGAGAATCAGAAAGGTTCTGAGTTGGAGATGCATGCAAGAGAAATATCGGGAAATACTCTTGGAAGCCACACTTATAAGGGAGTGAGGGAAGCAGGAATGGACAACAAGAAAAGTTAAATGGTGATGTAGTTGCAATAGATGACTCAACTGAGGCTACAGGGAGCTCTAGAATTAGGAAGGCCTTGCAGAGTTGTCAGGAATCAAGTCAAGGTGGCAGGAATTTTGTTTCCCTGCATTGATCAGTCATTGAGGTCTGGCTGCTCATGGGGAGGGGTATAATTTGGGTGAGGCAGCTCACTTGAGCCAGGGAAATACCCCGTGTGACACTCAGTTATGAGCTGTCAGCAGCCCACACTCTGGTGGCTGGGAGAGTATAAGGGTCTCAGTCTAAAGGAGGCCTCCGTGCAGTGCACCAAAACTTCCACTACAGTCTCCAGTTCCCTGTACTTCTTAGACCCACTGGCTTTATAGAGTATGCTTACTCCATTTAGGGGATGCTCCTCCAAGATTCTGGTTGGTGCCTTGTTTTAGGGAAACCTAAGAAAGGAAGATTAGTGAAACAATGTATGGCCCCTGCTACTACAACTAGTTTTGAGGCTACAAGTGATACACATTTTCTGGCTGCTCTACTATACCTATTCTAAATGTTTCTCATCACCAGCTAGTATCTCTGCTGGCGAAGATGACTTACCTTTTTGGGTCGCCAAGATTCTCATCCCAGGGGTGTCTCAGTCTCTGGTCATTATGCCCTTTTAAAGCCATATATGCTTCACTTGTTTGTATGCTAATAAAATCGAGCAGGGAAGAGCCAAGAAACATCTGAGAGGAATACCAGGAACCCACATTTCTTCTCTTCCTACTTTGTGTAACAGCTCCTCCTGGTAACCAGGGCCAATTTTCCCTATCCAGTCACGTGACTGTGTTTCTTGACACTGGTCTATGAATGTGGACCATGAAGTAATTTAGTAGCAGCCATAGCTTAAATTTTTCTTGAGACTCTGACTGTGTCCATGATGGCAACAGTTTATCTGTGATAACCAAAATCTCTAGAGCCACAAAGCTGACATTTGAAGGGACAAAAAGCACATATTCCCCAAGTGGGAGTCTGGGAAAGATGGTAAAAGGGTCAATCCTACTTCCACTCCTTGGCTCCCTAAAATGTTGTGTTCTATCTGGAAACCCAGAACTATATAATAGTTACTGATTTAAAGTGCATGCTGATAATGCTACCCCATCATCACAGATTGTCATCTCTAAGTTGACAGGTCATTTGTGCATTCAAAAGGCCACACTGTAACTATACCAGGTCAGCAGTTTTGGTTTGTGCAATATATGATAGGGTTAGTGCATCCCATGGTTATGTTCCCACTCTGCTGTAAAATTCGTCATTTGGACTAATGGAACATTTTGCAGTATACTATGTTAACAGATCAAACACTTTATACACTTTTATATAGTGGTGATGGCCAAGGCACTGTGAATAGAAGCAAATCCACACCTGGCATATGTGTCAATCCAGGCAAAATAAATTTCTATCTCTTCCAAAGTGGCAATAGTTCAACTTGTCACCAGTTGGTTAGTGTGCTGAAGTAATGGTGCCATATTGGGGTCTCAGTGTTGGTCTCTGTTGATGGCAGTTTGGACATACAGCATCAGCAACATGTAGCTGTAACATTCATGGTGCATAACAGCCCATGCTGGCTGTTGGGCCCATGCATAGCATCCTGCCCTGCCACTATGGCTACTCTGTTCATGATCCCATAGTCCTAGCAACTTTAAAGGCTAATGCCAGAGGCTGGCTCATATCAACGGCATAGGCCATTCTGTCTTCTTGGTGTTTGGTGCCCCTTTTGTGAGGATAATCTCTGGTGGGTGTAAACATGCAATGCAAAGACCTTCACAGGTTGTGCCCCCTCCTGTAGATCCATATACATGTTTCCCAGACTTCCTCATTGATTATGTAATTTTTCTCCTTTCAGGCACCTTAACAATCAGCTACACTACTCACTGCTTTTCAAGATTTGTAATAATATAACCATAGACCACTTCTTTTATTATTATTATTATTATTATTATTATTATTATACTTTAAGTTCTAAGGTACATGTGCACAATGTGCAGGTTTGTTACATATGTATACATGTGCCATGTTGGTGTGCTGCACCCATTAACTCATCATTTACATTAGGTATGTCTCCTAATGCTATCCCTCCCCCCTCCCCCATCCCATGACAGGCCCCGGTGTGTGATGTTCCCCGCCCTGTGTCCAAGTGTTCTCATTGTTCAATTCCCACCTGTGAGTGAGAACATGCGGTGTTTGGTTTTCTGTCCTTGTGACAGTTTGCTCAGAATGATGGTTTCCAGCTTCATCCATGTCCCTACAAAGGACATGAACTCATCCTTTTTTATGGCTGCATAGTATTCCATGGTGTATATCTGCCACATTTTCTTAATTCAGTCTATCATTGATGGACAGTTGGGTTGGTTCCAAGACTTTGCTATCATGAATAGTGCCGCAGTAAACATACAAGTGCATGTGTCTTTATAGCAGCATGACTTATAATCCTTTGGGTATATACCCAGTAACGGGATGGCTGGGTCAAATGGTATTTCTAGTTCTAGATCCCTGAGGAATCACCACACTGACTTCCACAATGGTTGAACTAGTTTACTGTCCCACCAACAGTGTAAAAGTGTTCCTATTTCTCCACATCCTCTCCAGCACCTGTTGTTTCCTGACTTTTTAATGATTGCCATTCTAACTGGTGTGAGATGGTATCTCATTGTGGTTTTGACTTGCATTTCTCTGATGGCCAGTGATGATGAGCATTTTTTTCATGTGTCTGTTGGCTGCATAAATGTCTTCTTTTGAGAAGTGTCTGTTCATATCCTTTGCCCACTTTTTGATGGGGTTGTTTGATTTTTTCTTGTAAATTTGTTTAAGTTCTTTGTAGGTTCTGGAAATTAGCCCCTTGTCAGATAAGTAGATTGCAAAAATTATCTCCCATTCTGTAGGTTGCCTGTTCACTGTGATGGTAATTTCTTTTACTGTGCAGAAGCTCTTTAGTTTAATTAGATCCCATTTGTCAATTTTGGCTTTTGTTGCCATTGCTTTTGGTGTTTTAGACATGAAGTCCTTGCCCATGTCTATGTCCTGAATGGTACTGCCTAGGTTTTCTTCTAGGGTTTTTAATGGTTTTAGGTCTGACATTTAAGTCTTTAAACCATCTTGAATTAATTTTTGTATACAGTGTAAGGAAGGGATCCAGTTTCAGCTTTCTACATACGGCTAGCCAGTTTTCCCAGCACCATTTATTAAATAGGGAATCCTTTCCCCATTTCTTGTTTTTGTCAGGTTTGTCAAAGATCAGATGATTGTACATGTGTGGTATTATTTCTGAGGGCTCTGTTCTGTTCCATTGGTCTATATCTCTATTTTGGTAGCAGTACCATGCTGTTTTGGTTACTGTAGCCTTGTAGTATAGTTTGAAATCAGGTAGCATGATGCCTCCAGCTTTGTTCTTTTGGCTTAGGATTGTCTTGGCAATGTGGGCTCTTTTTTGGTTCTATATGAACTTTAAAGTAGTTTTTTCCAATTCTGTAAAGAAAGTCATTGGTAGCTTGATGGGGATGGCATTGAATCTATAAATTACCTTGGGCAGTATGGCCATTTTCACAATATTGATTCTTCTTATCCATGAGCATGGAATGTTCTTCCATTTGTTTGTGTCCTCTTTTATTTCATTGAGCAATGGTTTGTAATTCTCCTTGAAGAGGTCCTTCACATCCCTTGTAAGTTGGATTCCTAGGTATTTTACTCTCTTTGAAGCAATTGTGAATGGGAGTTCACTCATGATTTGGCTCTCTGTTTGACCATAGACAACTTCTATCTGTACACAAAGTAGATGGAACAGATGCACCATTAAAATCTCTGACAAATGGCAGAATTTCTTCCTTTTGAGTGGGAAACAGTACAACCTGTAATTGGTAGGTTTTTAAGGTCAGCTGTCATCCCCATCATTCCCCACAGAATATGATACTGTTTTTGATGTATCATCTTGGCTGATGAGAAGACGGCAGTTTCAGAAGGCCATTTCACCTTTCCCACTATGGTCCCTTCCCCAAAGGAATATGCGGAGAGTTCTTCTAAGACCAGATATGTCCCATATCAATAAACTCTCCCTAGATTCAAGGACTGGGGGCAAATGACCTCTGGGTTTCTCTATGGACCTGATAGACCCATAGTGCACCAAATCTTGGCAACCATTCCCTTTATTACCTGCCCACCCCACCCCACAATACACACCTCCCCTCTTTTGGGACAGAGGGAAGAGGATGCTTTGTGTCCTCAGGTATCAGCATCCACTCAGAACCTGTATCCAATAGTCCTAAAAACATCTGAGTTGAATATTCCTCTTTCTCCTGTGTATGGTTATTCAAGTAAATAACCATAAGTCCTTTTGGGGAAAGACTGAGGTAAAATCACTACATATAATTAATTGCCTTGTTGTTGCAGGGTCTTTTTCATTGTGACCCAGCCTCTCCTTCAGTCGATGGTTCCGAGTATGAAAATTGACTCAAATCTAGAAATTAAGAAATCTTGATTATATTAAGGGCAATTGTCCTCAGCCGTTTGGACACTTATATATTTTTTTTATTACATGAATTAAGTAATACCCTTGCTGGTTGCCCATCTCTATCACCTCTAAAAGAACAGTGTTCTTTTAATCAATTCCATAACCCTCTGCTCCTAGGTGCCACTTTGACCTTGATGCTCATTTTTAAAATTGTACTCATCTTGCTGCTGACAGTTAAACACAGCCACCTGGCTCTTATTATACTAATATCCTTTTATCTGCATTGCTCTCAGAGAGCCCAGTTCTGTAACTGCATTTCCTACCATCAGCTTTGGCTTACAGATGACAGCCACCACTGAGCTTTTCAAAAATATTAGAGTTTCTCCTTCCAGTGTTTTCTGGGCCCTCCCATAAAACATAGTGAGCTGGTAGGTTTTCTGTCCTTGTATAGCATATTCACTGTGGCATGCCCCTCTCTCCACCATTGTCTGCCATGGCAGTTCTGGAATTTCTGCTTGACTTGGTGTGTGACTGCTTTTTCAAGGCTTTCAAGAGCCAACCTAGTAGTGTGTTAGCACCATTTCTCAGAGACTCTGCTAGGTTGTTTAATCTGTATGATAGGGGAGTAGTCCCATATTGACATACCCTCTTTTACTCATCTTTATATTCTCTATGCACCCCCTTGATCTAGGTCCCTCATAATCCGGGACTCATGGATCTTGATTGTACGTGTTAGCATAGAGCTCTTTTTCTCCTTTTGCAGGCTCAAGTTTTCACCAGGTATTGGTTCAAGGTGAGTGAGCAAGGGTGAATAATTGTGTGGAAAGTGCCTGTTGTCTTTAAGGTCAGAAGCTTCTGCATTTTCTTCAAGCAATGGAAGAAGTATTAGCCTTTAACAGCTATCTGGCTTAACAGGTAGGAGTGTGTCAGTTCTTCAAGCCCAGAAGGCTCAGAGGAATCTTGGGATTCAAATTTTTTTGAATGAATCAACCCAGATTTCCCTACCCTAAGAATCAGGACTTTCTTCCTACCCAACCAGAGCACTGATCTTGGCATAGCAGGTATGACCCAGGTGAAAATTCAATATCTGTAGAGTTATAGTACCCCTCTAATTAAGCTCTGGGCCTAATCCTTAGCTTTATTTTGACCTTGAACTACAAAAGAAGAGAGCCTGTTTGTAAGCTGCCAAGGAGCTTCTCTGGCTTTTAGGCTTCACCTTAAATGTGTGATTAATCATCCACAATCTTTCATTTTCTTTTGTCAGTGCATCAGTGGAAACCAACAAGAGCCATATGATTCCATAATCTTTATAATTTCTTCTTTCTCAGAAACCTCTAAGTGCCTAAGATACAACATTCTCCAGTGCATTTCCTTCCTCTGGTATCCCATTTCAGTTTACAGTTAGTTTTTTTTTCTTTTTTCTTTTTTTGTTATTACACTGCTACAGCATGTCAGTGTGTATCAGTGCTTCAAAGACTACCAGTGCTATAGTCTTCATTGCCAGCTAGCCAACCATTGATGAATCCAGCACCAAAATCTTACTTTAAGTTTGTTTCTAAGACCATTTAAGATTTTAAATCCCTGGGAAATACACACTGATACAGAGATTTCATGCTGAGAGTTTGTTGGGAGAGCCCTTGGAAACAAACTTATAAAAAAGTGAAAGAAGTAGGTTTGGGAAAAGGGAGAAGTTGAGCTGAGATGCAGTTTCAAAAGAGGCCTCTATCAATACAATTAGTATCTCTGAAGCTGAGCATTTCAAAAACAGTCCTCCTTAGTTGCAAACTTCATTACCCCATTTTCAATAATGGACAAACAATTGGCAAGAAGACCAACAAGGAAATAGAAGATTTGAACAACACTATAAAACAACTAGACCTAACACACATATTTAGGCCTTTTTCTCAAGTACACATATAACATGCTTCAGGGTAGGCCATAGGATAGGTTATAAAACAAACCTCAATAAATTTAAAAAGGAAGCAACATTGTATCCCTATAGATGCAGAAAATGCTAGCAATAAAATTCAACACCCCTTTATGTTAAAAACTCTAAAAAATCTAGGTATTGAAAGAACATACCTCAAAATAATAAGAGCCATCTATGACAAACCCACAGCCAACATTATACTGAATGGGCAAAAGCTGCAAGCATTCCCCTTGAAAACTGGCACAAGACAAACACATCCTCTCTCACCAATCCTATTTGATATAGTGCTGGAAATCCTAGCCACAGCAATCAGGCAAGAGAATGAAATAAGGGCATCCAAATATGAAGAAAGTCAAACTATCCCTGTTTGCAGACAACATGATTCTATATCTAGAAAACCCCATAGTCTTGGTCCAAAAGCTCCTTCAGCTGATAAACAACCTCAGCAAAGTTTAGGATACAAAATCAATGTACAAAAATCACTAGCATTCCTATACACAAACAGCCAAGCCAAAAGCCATATCAGAAAGGCAATCCCATTCACAATTGCCACAAAAAGAATAAAATACCTAGGAATACAGCTAACCAGGGAAGTGAAAGAGTTCTACTACTAAAATCACAATAAAACACTATCCAAAGAAATCAGAGATGGCACAAACAAATAGAAAAACATTCCAAGCTCATAAATAGGAAAAATCAATATTATCAAAATGGCCACACTGCCCAAAGCAATTTATAGATTCAGTGCAATTCCTATCAAACTACCAATGACATGCTTCACAGAACTAGAAAAAACTATTTTAAAATTCATATTCAAAAAGAGCCCGAATAGCCAAGGCAATATCAAGCATAAAGAACAAAGCTGGAAGCATCACATTACCAAATTTCAAACTATACTACAGGGCTGCAATGAGAAAACCACAATGAGATACCATCTAACATCAGTCAGAATGGCTATTATTAAGAAGCCAAAAAATAACAGATGCAGGTAAGGTTGCGGAGAAAACGCAATACACTTATACACTGTTGGTGGGAGTGTAAATTAGTTCAACCATTGTAGAAAGCAGTATGGTATTTCTCAAAAAGCTAAAAACAGAACTACCATTCAACCCAGCATTCCATTACTGGGTATATACCCAGAGAAATATAAATTATTTTATCATAAAGATAAAATAATGTAAAGATACATAATGCAAATGTTCATCGCAGCACTATTCACAATAGCAAAGGCATGGAATCAACCCAAATATTCATCAGTGACAGATCAGATAAAGAAAATGTGGGACGACCCAAGATGGCAGAATAGGAAGAACTCCGGTCTACAGCTCCCAGCGTGAGCGACACAGAAGACAGGTGATTTCTGCATTTCCATCTGAGGTACTGGGTTCATCTCACTAGGGAGTGCCAGAGAGTGGGTGCAGGACAGTGGGTGCAGCGCACCGTGCGCGAGCCAAAGCAGGGCGAGGCATTGCCTCACTCGGGAAGCGCAAGGGGTCAGGGAGTTCCCTTTCCTAGTCAAAGAAAGGGGTGACAGGCGGCACCTGGAAAATCGGGCCACTCCCACCCTAATACTGCGCTTTTCCGACGGGCTTAAAAAACAGCGCACCAGGAGATTATATCCCGCACATGGCTCGGAGGGTCCTACGCCCATGGAGTCTCACTGATTGCTAGCACAGCAGTCTGAGATCAAACTGCAAGGCGGCAGCGAGGCTGGGGGAGGGGCGCCTGCCATTGCCCAGGCTTGCTGAGGTAAACAAAGCAGCTGGGAAGCTCCAACTGGGTGGAGCCCACCACAGCTCAAGGAGGCCTGCCTGCCTCTATAGGCTCCACCTCTGGGGGCAGGGCACAGACAAACAAAAAGACAGCAGTAACCTCTGCAGACTTAAATGTCCCTGTCTGACAGCTTTGAAGAAAGCAGTGGTTCTCCCAGCACGCAGCTGGAGATCTGAGAACGGGCAGACTGCCTCCTCAAGTGGGTCCCTGACTCCTGACCCCTGACCCCCGAGCAGCCTAACTGGGAGGCACCCCCCAGTAGGGGCAGACTGACACCTCACACGGCCGGGTATTCCTCTGAGACAAAACTTCCAGAGGAACGATCAGACAGCAGCATTCGCGGTTCACGAAAATCCGCTGTTCTGCAGCCACCACTGCTGGTACCCAGGCAAACAGGGTCTGGAGTGGACCTCTAGCAAACTCCAACAGACCTGCAGCTGAGGGTCCTGTCTGTTAGAAGGAAAACTAACAAACAGAAAGGACATCCACACCAAAAACCCATCTGTACATCACCATCATCAAAGACCAAAAGTAGATAAAACCACAAAGATGGGGAAAAAACAGAGCAGAAAAACTGGAAACTCTAAAAAGCAGAGCGCCTCTCCTCCTCCAAAGGAACGCAGTTCCTCACCAGCAACGGAACAAAGCTGGACGGAGAATGACTTTGACAAGTTGAGAGAAGAAGGCTTCAGACGATCAAAGTACTCCGAGCTACAGGAGGAAATTCAAACCAAAGGCAAAGAAGTCAAAAACTTTGAAAAAAATTTAGACAAATGTATAACTAGAATAACCAATACAGAGAAGTGCTTAAAGGAGCTGATGGAGCTGAAAGCCAAGGCTCGAGAACTACGTGCAGAATGCAGAAGCCTCAGGAGCCGATGCGATCAACTGGAAGAAAGGGTATCAGTGATGGAAGATGAAATGAATGAAATGAAGTGAGAAGGGAAGTTTAGAGAAAAAAGAATAAAAAGAAACAAACAAAGCCTCCAAGAAATATGGGACTATGTGAAAAGACGAAATCTACATCTGATTGGTGTACCTGAAAGTGATGGGGAGAATGGAACCAAGTTGGAAAACACTCTGCAGGATATTATCCAGGAGAACTTCCCCAATCTAGCAAGGCAGGCCAACATTCAGATTCAGGAAATACACAGAACGCCACAAAGATACTCCTCGAGAAGAGCAACTCCAAGACACAAAATTGTCAGATTCACCAAAGTTGAAATGAAGGAAAAAATGTTAAGGGCAGCCAGAGAGAAAGGTCGGGTTACCCACAAAGGGAAGCCCATCAGACTAACAGCGGATCTCTCGGCAGAAACTCTACAAGCCAGAAGAGAGTGGGGGCCAATATTCAACATTCTTAAAGAAAAGAATTTTCAACCCAGAATTTCATATCCAGCCAAACGAAGCTTCATAAGTGAAGGAGAAATAAAATCCTTTACAGACAAACAAATGCTGAGAGATTTTGTCACCACCAGGCCTGCCCTAAAAGAGCTCATGAAGGAAGCACTAAACATGGAAAGGAAAAACCAGTACCAGCCACTGCAAAATCATGCCAAATTGTAAAGACCATTGAGGCTAGGAAGAAACTGCATCAACTAACGAGCAAAATAACCAGCTAACATCATAATGACAGGATCAAATTCACACATGACAATATTAACTTTAAATGTAAATAGACTAAATGCTCCAATTAAAAGACACAGACTGGCAAATTGGATAAAGAGTCAAGAGCCATCAGTGTGCTGTATTCAGGAAACCCATCCCACATGCAGAGACACACATAGGCTCAAAATAAAAGGATGGAGGAAGATCTACCAAGCAAATAGAAAACAAAAAAAGGCAGGGGTTGCAATCCTAGTCTCTGATAAAACGGACTTTAAACCAGCAAAGATCAAAAGAGACAAAGAAGGCCATTACATAATGGTAAAGGGATCAATTCAACAAGAAGAGCTAACTATCCTAAATATATATGCACCCAATACAGGAGCACCCAGATTCATAAAGCAAGTCCTGAGTGACCTACAGAGAGACTTAGACTCCCACACAATAATAATGGGAGACTTTAACACCCCACTGTCAACATTAGACAGATCAACGAGACAGAAAGTTAACAAGGATACCCAGGAATTGAACTCAGCTCTGCACCAAGCCGACCTAATAGACATCTACAGAACTCTCCACCCCACATCAACAGAATATACATTTTTTTCAGCACCACAGCACACCTATTCCAAAATTGACCACATAGTTGGAAGTAAAGCTCTCCTCAGCAAATGTAAAAGAACAGAAATTATAACAAACTGTCTCTCAGACCACAGTGCAATCAAACTAGAACTCAGGATTAAGAAACTCACTCAAAACCGCTCAACTACATGGAAACTGAACAACCTGCTCCTGAATGACTACTGGGTACATAACGAAATGAAGGCAGAAATAAAGATGTTCTTTGAAACCAACGAGAACAAAGACACAACATACCAGAATCTCTGGGACACATTCAAAGCAGTGTGTAGAGGGAAATTTATAGCACTAAATGCCCACAAGAGAAAGCAGGAAAGATCCAAAATTGAAACCCTAACATCACAATTAAAAGAACTAGAAAAGCAAGAGCAAACACATTCAAAAGCTAGCAGAAGGCAAGAAATAACTAAAATCAGAGCAGAACTGGAGGAAATAGAGACACAAAAAACCCTTCAAAAAATCAATGGATTCGTGACCTGGTTTTTTGAAAGGATCAACAAAATCGATAGACCGCTAGCAAGACTAATAAAGAAGAAAAGAGAGAAGAATCAAATAGACACAATAAAAAATGATAAAGGGGATATCACCACCGATCCCACAGAAATACAAACTACCATCAGAGAATACTACAAACACCTCTATGCAAATAAACTAGAAAATCTAGAAGAAATGGATGAATTCCTCGACACATACACCCTCCCAAGACTAAACCAGGAGGAAGTTGAGTCTCTGAATAGACCAATAACAGGCTCTGAAATTGTCGCAATAATCAATAGCTTACCAACCAAAAAGAGTCCAGGACCAGATGGATTCACAGCCAAATTCTTCCAGAGGTATGAGGAGGAACTGGTACCATTCCTTCTGAAACTATTCCAATCAATAGAAAAAGAGGGAATCCTCCCTAACTCATTTTATGAGGCCAGCATCATCTTGATACCAAAGCCGGGCAGAGACACAACCAAAAAAGAGAATTTTAGACCAATATCCTTGATGAACATTGATGCAAAAATCCTCAATAAAATACTGGCAAACCGAATCCAGCAGCACATCAAAAAGCTTATCCACCATGATCAAGTGGGCTTCATCCCTGGGATGCAAGGCTGGTTCAATATACGCAAATCAATAAATGTAATCCGGCATATAAACAGAACCAAAGACAAAAACCATATGATTATCTCAATAGAGGCAGAAAAGGCCTTTGACAAAATTCAACATTACTTCATGCTAAAAACTCTCAATAAATTAGGTATTGATGGGATGTATCTCAAAATAATAAGAGCTATCTATGACAAACCCACAGCCAATATCATACTGAATGGGCAAAAACTGGAAGCATTCCCTTTGAAAACTGGCACAAGACAAGGATGCCCTCTTTCACCACTCCTATTCAACATAGTGTTGGAAGTTCTGGCCAGGGCAATTAGGCAGGAGAAGGAAATAACGGGTATTCAATTAGGAAAAGAAGAAGTCAAATTGTCCCTGTTTGCAGATGACATGACTGTATATCTAGAAAACCCCATTGTCTCAGCCCAAAATCTCCTTAAGCTGATAAGCAACTTCAGCAAAGTCTCAGTATACAAAATCAATGTACAAAAATCACAAGCATTCTTATACACCAATAACAGACAAACAGAGAGCCAAATCATGAGTGAACTCCCATTCACAATTGCTTCAAAGAGAATAAAATACCTAGGAATCCAACTTACAAGGGATGTGAAGGACCTCTTCAAGGAGAACTACAAACCACTGCTCAAGGAAATAAAAGAGGATACAAAGAAATGGAAGAACATTCCATGCTCATGGGTAGGAAGAATCAATATCGTGAAAATGGCCATACTGCCCAAGGTAATTTATAGATTCAATGCCATCCCCATCAAGCTACCAACGACTTTCTTCACAGAATTGGAAAAAACTACTTTAAAGTTCATATGGAACCAAAAAAGAGCCCGCATCACCAAGTCAATCCTAAGCCAAAAGAACAAAGCTGGAGGCATCACGCTACCTGACTTCAAACTATACTACAAGGCTACAGTAACCAAAACAGCATGGTACTGCTACCAAAACAGAGATATAGATCAATGGAACAGAACAGAGCCCTCAGAAATAACGCCGCATATCTACAACTATCTGATCTTTGACAAACCTGAGAAAAACAAGCAATGGGGAAAGGATTCCCTATTTAATAAATGGTGCTGAGAAAACTGGCTAGCCATATGTAGAAAGCTGAAACTGGATCCCTTCCTTACATCTTATACAAAAATTAATTCAAGATGGATTAAAGACTTAAATGCTAGACCTAAAACCATAAAAACCCTAGAAGAAAACCTAGGCATTACCATTCAGGACGTAGGCATGGGCAAGGACTTCATGTCTAAAACACCAAAAGCAATGGCAACAAAAGCCAAAATTGACAAATGGGATCTAATTAAACTAAAGAGCTTCTGCACAGCAAAAGAAACTACCATCACAGTGAACAGGCAACCTACAAAATGGGAGAAAATTTTCACAACCTACTCATCTGACAAAGGGCTAATATCCAGAATCTACAATGAACTCAAACACATTTACAAGAAAAAAACAAACAACCCCATCAAAAAGTGGGCAAAGGACATGAACAGACACTGCTCAAAAGAAGACATTTATGCAGCCAAAAAACACATGAAAAAATGCTCACCATCACTGGCCATCAGAAAAACGCAAATCAAAACCACAATGAGATACCATCTCACACCAGTTAGAATGGCAATCATTAAAAAGTCAGGAAACAACAGGTGCTGGAGAGGATGTCGAGAAATAGGAACACTTTTACACTGTTGGTGGGACTGTAAACTAGTTCAACCATTGTGGAAGTCAGTGTGGCGATTCCTCAGGGATCCAGGACTAGAAATGCCATTTGACCCAGCCATCCCATTACTGGGTATATACCCAAAGGACTATAAATCATGCTGCTATAAAGACACATGCACACGTATTTTTCTTGCGGCACTATTCACAATAGCAAAGACTTGGAACCAACCCAAATGTCCAACGATGATAGACTGGATTAAGAAAATGTGGCACATATACAACATAGAATACTATGCTGCCATAAAAAATGATGAGTTCATGTCCTTTGTAGGGACATGGATGAAATTGGAAATCATCATTCTCAGTAAACTATTGCAAGAACAAAAAACCAAACGCTGCATATTCTTATTCATAGGTGGGAATTGAACAATGAGAACACATGGACACAGGAAGGGGAACATCACACTCTGGGGACTGTCGTGGGGTGGGGGGAGGGGGAGGGATAGCATTAGGAGATATACCTAATGCTAAATGATGAGTTAATGGGTGCAGCACACCAGCATGGCACATGTATACATGTGTAACTAACCTGCACATTGTGCACATGTACCCTAAAACTTAAAGTATAATAATAATAAAATTTTAAAAAAAAGAATAAAAAGAAGAAAATGTGGTACATATATACCATGGAATACTACACAACCATAAAAAAGAATGAGATCACGTCTTTTGCAGGAACGTGGATGGGGCTGGACTTAGCAAACTAACACAGGAACAAAAAACCAAATTTTGCATGTTCTTACTTTTAAGTGGGAGCTAAATGATGAGAACTTATGAACACAAAGAAGGAAACAACAGACACTTTGGTCTACTTGAGGGTAGAGAGTGGGAGGAAGGGGAAGAGCACAAAAATATAACTATTGGGTACTGGGCTTAATACCTGGGTGATTAAATAATTTGTACAACAAACCCTGGTGTTTACCTATATAAGAAACCAGAGGTAAACCTGAGTTTACCTATTAACAAACCTTCACATGTACCCCCAAACCTGAAATAAAAGTTTAAAAATAAATAAATTCAAAAAGATAGACATAATACAAAGTATAATCTCTAATCACAATGGAATAAAATTAGAAGTCAATAACAAATTTTGGAAATACACAAATATTTGGAAATCAACAAACGTGTCAAAGAAAAAAGCAATAATTAGAAAAAACTTCATAATGAGTTAAAATGAAGACACAACATATTAAAACTTATGGGATATAACTAAAGCAGGGTTTCAGGGAAAAATTACACCTGTAGATACCTATGTTAAAAAACAAAAAAGATCTCAAAATAATAATATAATCTTCCATTTAAAGTACTGGAAAAACAAGAGCAAACTAAACTTAAGGCAAATAGAAGGAAGAAAATCATAAATATTAAAGTGAAAATTAATGAAATACAGAATACAAATACAATAGAAAAAAATCAACAAAATCAAAAGCTGGTTCTTTAAAAAAATACAAAAAAATTGTCAATTATTTAGATTGATCAAGGAAAAAAGAGAACACTCAAATTAGTAGAATCAGAAATAGTAAAGGATATTTTTACTGATCATACAGAAATAAAAGGGATTAAAAAGGAATACTAGGAACAGTTGTATAACATTAAGTTGGGAAAAATAGATAAAGTAGAAAAATTTATAGAAAGATATAAGGTACCAAAACTGACTCAAGAAGAAATAGACAATGTGAATAGATCTATAACAAGTAGAGAAATTAAATTAGTAATCAAAAAACTACCCACAAAGAGGGGACCAGGGGCAGATGGCTTTACTGATGAATTCCATCAAATATTTAAAGAAGAATTAATAACGAATCTTCACAAACTTTTCCAAAAATAATAAAATGGGAGGGAACACTCCCCATCTTATTCTATGAGGCCAGTATTACCCTGATATCAAAACTAGACAAGAAAACTACAGACCAATATCTCTTATGAATAAGGATACAAAAGCCCTGCATAAAATGCTAACAAGTCAAATACAGCAACAGAAAAAAAGATTTATACACCATGACAAAGTAGAATTCATACCAGGAATACAAAGTTTAACATCTGAAAATCAACTAATACAATATATCATATCAATAGAATGAAAAACAAAAACCATGTGAGCATCTCAATACATGCAGAAAAGCATTTGACAAAACCCAGCACCTTTCCATGATGAAAGCACTTCACAAACTAAGAGCGGAATGGAGCTTCCTCAATCTGATAAAGGAAATCCATGAAAAAAGCTCAGAGCTAACACCATAGTTAATGGTGAATAACTGGATGTTTTACCCTAAGATCAGGAACAAATAGGTATGTTCACTCTTGTCAATTTTATTCAATGTCGTTCTAGAGGTTTTAGCCAAGGCAATTTAGAAGGAAAGGAAAGGAAAGGAAAGGAAGGAAAGGAAAGGAAAAGGAAAAGGAAAAGGGAAAGGGAAAGGGAAAGGGAAAGGGAAAGGAAAGAGGAAAGGAAAGAGGAAAGGAAAAAGGAAAGGAAAGGAAAGGAAAGGAAAGGGGTACCAAAATTGAAAAGAATGAAATAAAATTATATCTGCAGATGACATGATCTTGTCATTAAAAATCCCAAGAAATTTACTTTAAAAAATAATTAGAAGTAATGAGTTCAGCAAATTTGCAGGTTAGAAGATCAATATACAAAAATCAATTGTATTTCTATACAATTGCAATTAACAATCTAAAAATAAAATTTAAAAAATTTAAAAAATCAGAAACAATAAAATACTTAGAAAAATATTTAACAAAAAATGCAAAATTTATATTTTGAGGACTTCAAAATATTGTTAAAAGAAATTTTAAATGATTTCAATAAATTAAAAATAACCCATGTTCATGAATCAGAAGATTTAATATTATAGAGATGGCAATGTTCCTCAAGTTCATCTATAGGTTCAATGCAATCTCTATCACAATCACAGCTAGCTTTTTCTGTAGAAATTGACAAGTTGACTTTAAAATTATATGGAATTGCAAGGTACCCAAAAAAGCTATTTAAAAAAGTCTTGAAACAGAAGGATAAAGTTGGAGGACTCAAACTTCTCAGTGTCAAAACTTACTACAAATCAACAGTAATCAAGACAGTGTGGCACTGTCATAAGGACAAACATACAGAGAAATGGAATAGAATCAAGAATCTAGAATTAAATCCATCTGCCTATGGTGCACTGATTTTTGACAAGCGTTCCAAGCTTTTTAAAGAGAAAAGAACGATCTTTTCAACAAAGGATGCTGGAACAACAAGGTAGCCACATGCCAAAGAATGAAATCGAACCTCTAACTTACACTATATATAGAAATTAACTCAATGGGAGTCAAACACCTAAATATATGAGTGAAAACAATACAACTCTTAGAATAAAATATGGAGGTAAATTTTTGTGATCTTGCAGTTGGTAATACATTCTTAGTTATGACACCAAAAGCATGAGCAGAAAAAGAAAAAATAGTCCAAAACAATAGACTTCATCAAAATTAAAGCTTTTCTGCTTCAAAGAATATGGTCAAGAAAGTAAAAAGACAATCCACAGAATGAGAGAAAAAAATTGAAATCATATATCTGATAGGAGACTTACATCTAAAATATATAAAGAACTCATATAATTCTATAATAAAAATAATAAAAGCCTAATTTTAAAAATTGGGTAAAAGATTTGAATAAACATTTCTCCAAAGAAGTCATAAATGTATAAAAGTATGCTTGATGTCATTAGTCATCAGAGAAATCAAAACCAAAACGACAACACGATGCCATTTCACACCCACCAGGATATCTATACTCAAAAAGTTAGATAAGAGCAAGTGTTGACAAGGATGTGGAAAAATCAGAATCCTTACAGACTGCTGGTGAGAATGGAAAATGGTGCAGCTACTGTGTAAAACAGTCTGGCAGCTCCTCAGAAGGTTAAGCATAGAGTTACCATGTGACTCAAAATTTTACTCCTAGATATCTACCAGGGAAGATGAAAACATACATCCACACAAAAACCCATACATGAATATTTATACCAGCATTATTCATAATAGCCAAAAGGTAGAAACAACCCAAATGTCTATCAACTGATCAATGACCAAACAAAACATTATACATCCATCCATACGATGAAACATTATTTGGCCATAAAAAGGAAGTACTGCAGCCAGGCGCAGTGGCTCATGCCTGTAATCCCAGCACTTTGGGAGGCCGAGGTGGGTGGATCACGAGGTCAGCAGTTAGAGACCAGCCTGGCCAGCATGGTGAAACCCCGTCTTTGCTAAAAATACAAAAAATTAGCCTGGCATGGTGGAGCAGGCCTGTAATGCTAGCTACTCGGGAGGCTGAGGCAGGAGAATTGCTTGAACCCGGGAGGCGGAGGTTGCAGTGAGCTGAGATCATGCCACTGCACTCTAGCCTGGGCGACAAAGTGAGACTCTGTCTCAAAAAAAAAAAAAAAAAGAAAAAAAAAGAGGAAGTACTACCACACGCTTTGACACGAATGAACCTTGAAAACATTATGTTAAGGGAAAGAAGGAAATTACATAAGACAAAGACTATGTATTATATAATTCCATTTACATGAAATATCCTGAACAGGCAAATCCATAAAGACAGAAGGCACTTCAGTGTTTGTCTGGAGATAGGAGGGATGGGGGGTAGTAGCTAAAAAATATGGGGCTTCTTTATGAGGTGATAAAAATGTTCTAATTTTGGCTGTGGTGATGGTGACATGTATCTGTGAATATACTAAAAACCTTTGAATTGTGCACTTTAAATGGGTGATTATATGATATGTGAACTATATGTTAATAAAGATGTTATTTTAAACTTTTCTTTACAAAAGTAGGATGTGCACCCCAATGGCACTGTAAACAATTTTCTCCCATAGCTATTCCATTTTCACACTACTTTCTTTCTAATTCCTATTTCTACTTCTCACTTCCATTTATCTTACACTTAGGTTTCATTTCCCCAGACCTACATTTCTGGTTCAATACCCTGCTTTTGAAACCTTCCTGTGAACCCTTTTAATGAGCTACAAGAGTTTTTCAACCTAAACTGTATGATGTTTACTGGCATTTAAGGTTTTACTTTCCTTACTTCTTCAGGTTAGGTACACCCTCTGTCAATCCTCAATACTAAGAAACCTCATCCAGAGAACAACTAGGGGAAGACCCCAGAGATTAATATGAGCTAAACACACAGTCTTTCCTGCTTATTCACATTAAACTACCATCCTTAAAATACACATTTGCATCTCACATATTTTAGCCACCAGAAATTTCCAGGAAATTTCTCTGTTTCTTACACTAACGGGTGTGGATCTAGTATCTTCCATCTTCAGATCTGTCTCAACTCAACAGTCTCTGAATATACAGAAAAGGCTCCTACTTTAGAATGGTAGTGAGGGAAACTGAAAGTGGCATTTCAGTTGAGTGAGAAGAAGCCAGCCATGCAAAGACCTGGGAGAAGAGCATCCCAGAGAGAGGGAACATCATGAATGACTGGCTGAATGCATGAACTAGAGATCCAAGGGGCATAGGAATCCAGAGAAAAAGGCAATCCCTCGAGACTAGGAATTGGAAACTTTGAAAGGCTTTTGCAAGTAGGTAAAACTGGAGCAGCATATTGGAAGAAAGGACCAGACTCAAACTCATTAAAGGAAAGGAAGGCATTCCAGGCAAGGAAGTGGAAACAAATGAATCTGGACTATACTACGTGAAACAGGTCAGGCAAAGCGAAGGTTGTTAGAGGATTGTTTCCTAAATATGACCAGCTCTGACCTTGGTTTCAGCTCTTTGAAATTCCAACACGACATCCTAAAATGGCAAAGAGTCCCATTTGTGCCCAGATTGGGTCACCGTTTCTGTGTGGCCTACACTTGTGCCTTATTACCTGCAAGAAACACTTGTTATTTTAGTTTTGCGGAGACAAAGAATACCACTTTCCATTGGGCTCTCTGGGTTGTAAAGAAACCAGTTCTCCCCACGTTGGCATTAGTATAGTGAAGTGCAGGATCTCTGAAAGAAGAAAGGGGCAAAACAAACTTAAGGTATCTCTTAAGTCTTCCTGAGGATAAAAGAAAGAACCAAGCTCATTATTTCCAGGGTAAAGTTAAAGTCCTAATCATCAATAGGAAAACTTTCCTCCTTTCAGAATTGTGTCCTTTGCTTCCTTTTTAGTCTCAGAAAAACTTTATTTTTCTAGAAACAGAGGGCAGAACAGCAACTTCCACTGTCTCCAGCCCTACAACTGATACTTTGCACTGAAAAAGTTACTTGCTTTAGTCAGACAAAGAACTATCTTTCTTCTGCTATTAACCATGGTTATTTAAGACTATATGTAAACGCAATACTGTTTTTAACACGATATTTGGAAAAGAAGATATGAAGAAGAATTAATCATGCAGAGAGGCAGAAAGTGATTTTTACTTAAAATTCACAATATCCATGTCATTTTCCCTGGGGGAGTTTATTTCAAATGCTACTTAGTAATTTTTCAAGACAGAAAATGATAAAGCCTGTCTGAGGGAGAAAAGGAGAACAAACTCCATTAATATCAACCCTCAGCCCCCACATATACCCCCACCTCAGGCCCCCATACTTCTGGCTGCCTTTCCCTTACAAGTGTATCTTTGCCTGGAAGCTAAGAGGTGGCAAGAGCATTTGTGGCTGAAAGATACTCTTATAGTTCACAGTAAGCATTCTTTGCATTCTTTAGATTTTTAAATACAGCAGCCTCAAGGGGAAGACCAAAGAAAGAGCTGCCCGTTTATTATATGAGGTGAGTAATAGTGGACAACAATAAAAAGAAAGAGGATTTCCGTGTCTTTTTTTTTTTTTTTTTAACCTCCCTTCTCTGTGGGGAGGTCAATTCCGGTTTGATAACCTGTGCATAGACCACGTGCAGTGGGTGGGAGTCATCTCAGAGACAGAAGAAAGGTGGATCAAAAGCATCTGCCATTTAAAATGCTCCCAAACCAATAGGCAAGCTTTGGAGAAATGGCTGCATATTTTTAAGACTCTACCAGTTACTAGAGCCTTTAAAGAACTCAGGGAGACTATGAGACCCTCTGAAGTCAGACCCTATCAAGTCACGGTCAAGACGCCTTCAGGCATCTTTAAAACATCGCACAATTACCCACAGAGAAAAACCTAAACAGATCACTAAGAGCAAAATAACAGATCAAGAGAGTAGGCTTGAAGTCCGCTCTGTCTAGCCTTTAAGAAGTGAAAAACGATAGAAATATTTTGGCCCCAGAAAGTCCCAAACCTAAGCCTTGCAAATAAAATCTTAGTAGCAGATTTTGTGATGACAGAACTGTTGTAGGTGAGACAAGAGTGCCCTGAATCCCATGAGGGTGGGGGGTGGGGTGTGTGTGCACAAAAAATGGCCTTGAGGGTAGACTGAGAGGGCTCCGTCCACGCTGGGTAATGCACACTCAGCACATTCCTCACTTGCTTTTATTCCAAGCGTAGCTGTGAGAGACACTGTCATGGCCCACTTGTTCGTAAGCTCCCAAATATCGTAGCCTGGCACTGCCAACTAATTCCCCCCAAATTGGTTCATCCCCCATCACACCCAAATCCCAGTCACACTGAGCCATCAGCCCAGGTGAGTGGGCTGCCACCTGGGAGCCAAAGGCACATTGTGTGATGCCTTTTCAGACTCTATGCACACTGCTGGCCCAGGCCTTTGAGGATAGACTGAGGAGCAGGCAGAAAAGCAGATCTGTTTTTCAGATCAGGAGAGGGGCATTGGTAGGCACTGAAGGATGAGATGAAGGAAGGAAAAGAGAATGCATTTGTTTACTTAAGCCAAGATTGACAGACCACTGGTAAGACATGGCGGTCAAGAGCTCAGACTGAAGACAGACTCCTCTGGATTTGAATCTTTGCTGTGCAGTCTCTAAGATCTGTGACCTGAAACCCATGTCCAGCTTTCTGCACCACAGCCCCTCATCTGCAAAATGGTGGTAATGATAGAACTACCTCAAAGCTGTTTTTTCTTAATTTTTTATTTTTATAGATTTAGGAGGTACAAGTGCAGATTTTTTTCTTTCTTTTCTTTTTTTTTTTTTAAATGGAGTCTTGCCCTGTTACCTAGGCTGGAGTGCAGTGGTGTGATCTCGGCCCACTGAAACCTCCACCTCCTGGGTTCAAGTGATTCTCCTGCCTCACCTTCCTGAGTATCTGGGACTACAGGCACGCACCACCACATCAAGCTAATTTTTGTATTTTTAGTAGAGACATTTTAGGGTTTTGCCATGTTGTCCAGACTGGTCTCGAACTCCCGACCTCAGGTGATCCACCTGCCTCGGCCCCCCAAAGTGCTGGGATTATAGGTGTGAGCCTCCGCACCCGGCCAAGTGCAGATTTCTTAGATGCATACATTCCACAGTGGTGAAGTCTAGTTGTTCAGTGAACCCATCTCCTAAATAATGAACGTTGTACTCAATAAGTAATTTTTCGAGCCCTAGCCCCTCTCACCTCTCACCTTTTGGAGTGCCATGTGTCTATTATTCTGCTCTGTATACCCATGTGTACCCATTGTTTAGCTCCCACTTGTGAGAAGCAGTATTTGACTTTCTGTGTCTGAGTTATTTCACTTAGGATAATGGCCTCCAGTTCAATCCATGTTGCTGCAAAAGACATGATTTCGTTCTTTTCATGGCTGAGTAGTATTCCATGGTACATATATACCACATTTTCTTTATCCAGTTCTCCATTGATGGACACTTAGGTTCATTCCATACCTTTGCTATGGTTATGGGATCTTTGGGGTGTTGCTTTTCTGGCTGGAAATCTCTGTGGCCAGTGGTGCCTTTGCTTGACTTTTGCTCGGGCCTGCTTAGCTTGTTCTGCCCACTTGGCCTGGCAGGCTGTACTCAACTCACACTACTAGCCTGGGTCCCACGCCTGCCAAGGGCAAGCCAGGCATGGAGCAGTGAGGGGTGTGTGAGGGAGAGAGCATGGGGTCTGGCCACTGTGCACAGTCTGCTGGCTGGTACAGTGGGGCAGGCAGCTCCAGGTGCCAGCACAGGTGCCAGCTCTCTGCGAGGCTGCAGCTGGACCAGGCACACTGCAAGCAGCTTCCCCAGCTGGCACTGGGGAATGCAGTGGCATCTGGAAGCTTAGAGATGCCAGGAAATGCAGGGCCCCAAAGAAGGAGTCACAGCCCCAGCTCAGGAAGTTCCCAGGTCTGGGCTCCCTGAAGGGCTGCAGCTCTTCTCCCCATCTCTTCTCCTGCAATGTGGTGAGCAAGTGGCATGTTTGAGCCCAGTTTGTGTTACAGCTCTTCTAGCCTTGCCATTCAGCAGGCCCCAAGTTCTTGTCCTGCAACCAATAAGAATGAAGCATGCAGATAAGTGGAAGGTGAGCAAGAAGAAGAGGAGCCTTACTGAGCAGTAAACAGCTCAGTAGAGATAGGGAGGTCCTGGGGTGGCTGGCTCCTCTCTGCTGACAAGTCATCCCATGATCTATGCAGCTCTTAGCAGAAAGGAGGCCCTGGAGTGGGTTACTCCTCTCTGCAGGCAGGTCATCCCTGAGGTAGGAAGCTCCTCTCTGCTTCTGGTTGTCCCAACTTTCTCCAGCTATCAGCAGAAAGCATAGCTCCTCTCTGCAGTTGGTAGACCTGTTGTCAGCCTTGCTCTGGCTGAGCCTGGGGCTCTTATGGGCCCCAGTGCGGGGAAGTGCATCCTGATTGGTCCATGGGCAGCCATGGGCGGTCCCAGGAAAAAGCACTATGAGTTCCTCCTCTGGTAGGCAGGACTGGCAGCCTGGTCCCCAGGCTTCAGGCCTTCCCTGAGCCTGAAGGAGGGGCTTCACTGGGGACCTGCCTTCTTCCACCCAGGAGCCTGTCCACCTCCTACAGCCATCCATGGTGCCCAGGCTGCTTGCACCAAGGGGAACTTGTAGGCCAGTGCCGAGCTGCCCTCAGCACCTGCTCAGCTTCCCCTCCTGTGCTCCTTGACACCCAAAGCCCAGAGGGGGCTGAGGTAGCAGGGGGCTGGCATGTCAGCACTGCCCCAAGTGTGCGCACACCCAACCAGGCTGTGAAAGTGCCCGAATTCGGCCCCAACCCTGCTCTGAGATTGGAGCAGGCACCACAAGCAAGGAAAGGCCAGGCAGCAGGAGCAGACACCCCCAGCCTGTGGAGATGGGGGTAGGGCAGGTGGGCCTTCTTGACCCCTGAGGGTACTGACTGCAGAGACCCAGGAGGGCGAGGCTCTTGCCTGCTCCATGGAGCAGAAGGCCCAACCCACCTCCCTACTGCAGCCAGGGTCTTGGCAGCGGCCACTCTAGATAGGCACTGCTGCCATCAATGTTGTGAACAATGCTGCAATAAACATGCAGGTACAGCTAGGTGTCTTTTTGATGTAATGCCTTCTTTCCATTTGTGTATATACACAGTAGTGGGATTGCTAAATGGTAGTTGTATTTTTAGTTTTTTGAAAGTCATTTTGATAATTAAATGAGACATTGTATCTGAACAGCACAGCACAGAGCACAGCACTTAGAAGATGTTCAGTCATCGTTATGAGTACAATAATCTCATTATGTGGAGAGGATTATTTCTTAAAAATTTCCCAGTCCTTCCTGCTCTAAATCCTCCCTCCTGGTGGCCATTCTGGTTTTGCATAGTTTAAATGTATAAGCCTAGAGACCCCTCCAGGAGGCCGAAGGCCAGAGATTCTTCTTCCTTGGCAGAGGTCTCCTTTCTGTGCCCTCCTCCTCCAAACATCCTCTCAAGGTTTTTGGCTGGAAATTCCCAGTTCAAAATTGAAGAGTAAAAGAAGATATTGTGCCCATTTCAGACTCATGAAGATGAATTGCTAATCCCCTTTTGGAGGAAATAAGGCAAAGTATGCTTAGTGATTCATTAGAGAACAAAGAGTGTGCTAGTCTAGTGAGAAGTAGATGTTCTTCTGGAGGACTGGCAAAAGAGAATGGGGGAGTGGGCCGGGCGAGGTGGCTCACACCTATAATGCCAGCAGTTTTGGGAGGTCAAGGCAGGTGGATCACAAGGTCAAGAGATCGAGACCATCCTGGTCAACAAGGTGAAATACCGTCTGTACTAAACGTACAAAAATTAGCCAGGCATTGTGGTGTGTGCCTGTAGTCCCAGTTACTCGGGAGGCTGAGGCAAGAGAATCGCTTGAACCCAGGAGGGAGAGGTTGCAGCGAGCCGGGATCGCACCACTGCACTCCAGCCTGGGTGATAGAGCAAGACTCCATCTCAAAAAAAAAGAAATAAGACAATGAGGAAATGGGCAATCAAATAAGGAATACGGGGCTCCCAGACTGTAGAGAAAACATTTCAGTTATGGATCTGCATCGGTGCCCATCCATTGAGTGACACCTTCCAGAACTTTGACACTCGATGTGACCCCCACTCCACAGACTACCTACCTGCCTGCCTGGCCCCCTGGACTCTATGTGTGGGGGCTCTTCAAATGCTAACCTTGGAGAAAAACACTGAAAACTCTGGGCATTAAACTGCCAAGGGCTACAGTCAGGTCTTAATTCCTGACACTGGGTTCAACGAAGTTCCAAAACTAAAGTCTCACAAAATCCCACTGACCTGGGATTAAACCCTTAAGTGGGAACATTTGAATATTGTTTTTCTCACAGAGAAAAATTTTAGAAGTACAACAGGAAAGAAGATGAAAACATGGATGGCCAAAAAAATTGAAGAAGTGCCTACAACGTCTATGTACTTCACATATTTAATCTTCATAGAACACTGAAGGCAATATTGCTTTCTACATTTTACAGACAAGAAACTGAGGCTCAGTGATTCAAAGCCAGTCTTCAAACCCAGGCCCCCAAAGCCTATTCTATCCAGTACTTTTCACTACACCCACTTGCCTCTCGATTATATTTCTGCAAACTGGGCATTCTTATTGTTTCTAGCATTTTTATGACCTTGTTCCCACTTATAAAATAGGGAGATTAGAATAAATCACCTCAAAGTCACTTCTCAGCTCTGTAATTTATTAAAAGAAAGGATCTTCCTACAAGGCAGAGGCCTGAGGATAACAGGATTCTTTTAAAGTTTGGAAACACCCTGTCCCCTCACTTGGGGAGGGAGACAAAGCAGGAATCCATGGGGGAGCTGGTTGTGGGCTGAGAAACCAGGCAAGTGTGAATTCTAATCCTGGTGCTGACATTGACTTCCTCTTAATCCTCAGAGTCACTTTGTTTCTGAGTTTCCATCTATGCAACAAGGTTAATAGGACTCATCAATCTCCCAGGAGGGTGTTCACGTCTGCTCAGCATTTGTAAGGAGCTAAAGTCTCACTTCTGAGAGCTTGTGGCAGTTTTACATGGGGGGTACCCTAAGAAACAAAAATCATGAATGCTCTAATTCAGATTACTGAAAACTGCATTAAAAAATAATAGTATTATGTGTTTCCAAAAACCTGCTCAATTATCTCGAATATAAATTCATTTTGAAAATCAATAGTTCATTACTTGCTCAGATAGTAAGAGGAAACAATATGTTCCTAAAATCCAACCTATCAGAAGGCACATAGTAATAGAGGTTCTAGAATAAAATCAGACATTTTGGAATTCCACAAGCTCAGCAATGCAACGTAGTCTCTTTTTTTGTTTAAATGTAATCTTTACCAACAGAATGATAGATTGAATTTGAACACAGGCTATTCTCAGTCAAATGGTCAGAAGTTTTTACCCTGATAAATGATCAGAATTTTTTACCCTGAAGAAACATTCTGGAATAGAATCATCCAGAACTTGCAAATTTGCTCAAATTTTGAACGGATGGTAATAGCCAAACACACCATGAGATCTCCAGTTCTTACACTTTGTGAGGTTATGCAATCTGCTGGGTAAGCTTCATATTTACATGCCTTTTTGTACATGATTTGTATATATGTATTTGGAAATACACACACATACCACATACATACATATTTGAACACACACACTTTTTTTTGTGTGTGTACAAGTGTATATATAAATATATATAAATATATATATAATGTGCTCCCAGATCATACAGCTTTAAGCATAAGATTTTTTTTCCTGGCCTACTGTGATGAGGGTGCCTTGGAGAGGCAGGGAGGGGAGTGTGTCAGCAAGCTGTGTCTCTGCATCTGTATTTCCTCCATCCTCTGCATAATGGGAAGAGAAATTTTCTGACATTGCTCTCATACCTTATTATCATCAGAGACTAATCGCTTCTACACTCCCCTTGAAAAGTAATGAGACTTGCTTTTATTTTGTGTAGGTCTTCCATACGACTTTTTCTTTCATGCCTAACAATTTCCGACTGCCTTTCTCAGACAGCGATATAGCAGGGACTTCTTTTTCCCACTCTGGACTCCATTATGACATCACAGTAGCTATACAAACCACAAAGTGAAGCAAACAAAAGAATTTTTCATTTTCTCTTTCATTCAATAAGGCTGCATTTTCTGTCACACTACAACCTTTTGACCCGCGTCCTAATGGTGTTGGTCACCCAAGGGCAGAAGTTCAGCCATAGGTGAAGTCTGTGTGTGTTTATGTTGAGGAGAATGTGTTTGCATTCACTTCCTGTTGGCTGTGCTTGCACAGTGCAGTTGCTCTCCCATAGCCCTGAGGTCCTGCCTGCTGAGTGAGCTCCATCTCCTGAAAGGTTAAAGACAGGTTATTTACCCCTTCTCCTTCCCCCCAGTCACCAAACCCTTTTGTCACTGCTGCAGCTGAGCTGACATTAGTTCAGTTTTACCTGGAGAAGGTTGAGGGAGTATGTGCTGTAATACCGTCTATCCCATTTGATTGCAATCATTTCCCAGTCTGCATTTCCTAACACCTGTTAGTCTATGAATCCTACATGTTGCATTAAAAATGTACCTTTGATTGCTGTTTTAAAATGTTGCAAGCTAATGGAAAACCATGTATTAAATAATTGAAGCACCATGGAAAAGTAGATTATATGGGGAAAGTTCTGATTTAAATAAGAAAATCACACAATTTCCCCCAAAATATCATTTTTTTTCTCTTTACTATGTCTACTACCCCACCTCACCTGCTACTGCCCTGCTTTAGCATCCTGCCTACTCTGTTTCCAGGAGATGAACGCTCTAACTGCCACCATTTGTGCTAAGTAGCTGACTTGTTATGGGAAGTGTTGCTGCATGCAAGCATTTATTCATTCATGCATGCATGCATTCGTCTGACCCACTCAACTACCCATCTAACTATTCATTTCTTCCTCTTCCAGACAGGCCTGAGCTCTAACAAGTAGACAAATGTGAATTACTGTAAGTAGTTTGGTGTGGCTGCAGCATAGGGTGGGACAAGGGATAGGTAAAAACTGAACTGTAAAAGGGCATAGAGTTCATCAACTACCATAATAAAGAACGGTTAGACACACTCATGGCTTTATATCCTATCCCTATAGCCCTTGTCTGTAATCCCCCTGCTACATGAGCAGGCACTGTATACATAGCATAGCAGTGGCTTCCAGGAGCTTCATTCTCTCCCATTCAACTGGTCCCTAATATTTAATTTGGTACCTCTCCAGAAACACTGATTTACTCTCCCTGCTGGTTCTCTTTCCCCTCTATGTCTGTATGATACTCTGAGACCTAGCAATGGGCATGTAATTAACTACTTGACCTCTACTCAGCTAGGTGGACAGATGATACGCAATGCTTCCTTCCTTCTTTTCCATTTTTGCCAGGATTCCAAGTTATGTTGTGTGTCCCTCTGCTGCTCAGTGTCTTGTTTCATCTTTCCCCATATGGTGTGACAGATCACTACAACAGACCATTATGGATGGGCCCCCATGTGGGAAGATGCCCTACTGAGGCAGATTAATGATTATCCTGGAGTAGTGCCACATTCTGTTTTTCAGGGGCCAAATCCGGATGCTACTGAGGAAGTTTTTTTTTTTAAACCCATAGGCACTTAATTGTGCAATGTTATACTTCCCAATGCCAGCTGGTCATCAAATTATAAGATGAAACAAGAATATTTATAATCCTTGAAATTTCAGCTGAGCCTATGTTGTCACAGAGGCACTCCTTACCATATGGCCCTTCCTTTTGCAAGGTTCCAGGAAACCCACCAGGGCATTGAGTCCCAAGTGTTAATTTCATTTTGTCTATTTACTTCCTGTTATAGCAAGAGATAAAATACAATGAAATACTTCCATTCCATTCATTATTTTTTCTTTGAATCTATGTCCTCTTCAAATATAAGTGCTTCTCCCCATAAAATATGTGATTCTTCTTCCCAAAATGTTTCAGCATTTCTTACTGTAAATTTATCTTATACAGCTATTCCTTGTTTTTCACCTGAACTATCACATTTTCCTTGCCTATGATTACCTTCATTGTCTTCATTCTAGTTTACTATAAGCACTTCCATCATTTTTATGTTAACAATGTTTTTCCCAACCTCGATTCAAGGATCTTTGCCAAAATAAAAATATATAGAACATAGTTGTCTCTGTATTGTTTTGCCACAATGTCAGTAGAAAAATAAATTTATTATATATTTCTTCTCCAAGTCTCTTCTGTACCCGTGTACATAACTTAGGAGCCAAAACGTCTCATTCAACATGTAAATAATAGATCTCAGATATTTGGAGGATGTTATTTAAAAAAAAACCCTCAATGAGTGGACTTTTAGATGCAAGCAGTCATCATGGGTATCTGAAAGAAGATATCGAAAAGGAAGATAGTGGTCTGCCTGGAGAAGAGCAAAATAGCTTCAACTGCATTTTATGGTGAGTGCCGCCCAAAGATACAGCCATGCAGAGCTGCAGGAACTCCTACTAAACAAAGAGATTTGAAGGCAGAAACAAAAATGGGAAATTTAAGGTCAAAGTCATGGACAGTTAACTGAATAATTTATAAGACTGAAAGTGGAAAGTAAGTAAAAACACTTTTTAATGTGATTTAAATGAGTTAATTTAATTATGTGAAAACTAAATTTAGCATAAAAGGGACTATACTCAATCTTGAAAAGACATAAAGAAAGGAAAAAAGTTTATTTCTTCAAAAGCCAAAGAGAAATTCCAGCCAGAATAGACAAGTAGAAGCAGAATTAACTATACTCCACTGACCATACCCCAGTGGGCAGGTCCTAGAGGAAAAGAGGATATACATCAGGGGTATATGTCTCCATTAAAAGTGCACACCAAAAAGCCAGACTGACTGGATTCAAATCCTGCCTCTGCCATTTACTAGCTAGGTAATCTAGCCAAGTTGTCTAACCTCTTCATGTCTCAGTTTCCTCATCTGTAAAAGAAGAATAACGTATTTACTCCAAAAATTGTCTATGAGGACTAAAGGGGAAAAATATATATATACACACACATCTATACGTGTGTGTATATATACACACACACATATATACATGTGTAGATATATAGACACACACATATATACACGTGTAGATATATAGACACACATATACACGTGTAGATATATATACACACACACATATACACACGTGTAGATATATATACACACACACATATATATTTACACACATACATATACATACATACACACACACACGTATATTTTCTAAAACAGTTCCTGACACATGGGAAGCACTACATAGCCATTGTTGTTGTTTTTGGTATAGGACAAAACCAAGAAGCAAGAGGAACTTGTACTATTTTGACCTTTGTAAAGCCAACCAGTATAGGGATAGCACTAGAACTCTGAACAACTTTGACTGCATCTGGGGGAAGAACAAAAGGAAGGGAGAAAGGAAGAAGAGTGATGCCTTAAAAATAATTTCTACGTACCTCTACCTTTCTTCAGGGCTAAGTCCAACCAGACTAACTCAAGAATCTTTGTCCACATTCTTAGTCCCTCGATTCCTCTTAATCAAAGCTATGCATCTCACTGCATGTACTCAAGGACATACTTCTGCCACCCTTCTGGAAATCACCTAGGATATTTGCCGTTTATAATCAACTACTTTTAAACCAGATGAGGTCCCAGTTCTCTACTCTTTATTGAATTCACCCCAATCACATTAAGAGGCCCAGAAGATTTTGAAAGTAGAGATGGGTAGAAAAAATGAACAATGTGAAGGGAAGAGTTCAAGCAAAAGCAGAAAAAAAAGGAGACATGAGGGTAAATTCAGGTAACATATGGACTAGAACACAGGGACATGTAAGAAAAGTGAGATGGGATTGGACAGTTATGAGAAATGCCCTGGTGAGAACATTGTACTTAGCATGAGTGACAATACAGTAGGGTATGGTAACCCATGGAAGAGAATATTCGTTAGTGTTCGTAGTAGAAGCAAAATGTTTAGGAGTCAGAAGACATGTTCTCTAGTTAGGTAACCTTGCTCATGTCACTTCTCTAACCCTCAGTTTTCTTAATATTTCCATTTTCAAAATATGTATGGAATTTTTGCTATGTGCCAAGCATCATGAGAGGTACTCTATGGGACTCAAAATTAAATAACAGCATCTGTACAATTAAGAAGTCAGACCAAGAGACCTGTTCTGCACATCCCAACTCTAACATGCCATGGCAGTTTCACAATCCAGTTAACGAAGGACAGCCAAAAATACTTACCAAATATTAGTGCATATAATCTGTGGATTATTGAACCCTGAAGAATTTTGTTAAGATTAACTATCAATAGCCTGGCAATCATTTCACTCTTTCCAGGTGAATAAACAGGTAAAGAAAACTTCACAAAGAGTGAATGATTCCCTATACTGCCTGAGAAATTAATTGCATATGAGAATGAGAAAAAAATGGAAGTACAATATAATAATAATCAGGACAGACATTATCTTGTCTAATTTTAATCAAGTCTTGATTTATATAGAGATTTAACTAGTTGATTAATTCTTTCTCAGTTTGTGTGTTTTTAAGTGATTTGTGATTTTTTTTAAATGTCTCTTTTTAAGAATCCCTGGCAAGTTGACATACATATGGTGAACATATGGCCTTCTCCTAATTGATTTAATTCAAAAGAGGACCCAGGGGAAAACTCTGAGCACTATCTGTTTGAGAGCTTTGGAGAATGTTTATTTCAGAGTGAAGGGTATAAGTGTGATACCATCAGAGCAGTGCAATTGAAACAGGCCAGGCATTACCCACACATGGTGGGAAGTATCAATGGTATTATTCATTAGGATAATTTTAACTCAAAATCTGTGAATTGGCAGAACAATTAAAAAATTCTGATGCTTATTTCAAGAACTTTTTTGAAAAATTCCTTGCACTGAATTTCTCCAACTTGTAAAACTGTCACTTTCCAGGTAAAATTGCCCTGCCTAATTCACCAGCACACCCATTTAGAGATCAATTTGCCTACATTCCAGAATGAGCTTATGTTTGCCTAATGCATCCTCCACCTGACAGAGATAATTCTGTAGCTAAACTACTGCGGAAGACATGTGCAATTGACTGCATTCCTTCCCTCCAGACTGCTATAAATAAAGCCATGTGTCTATTGTCTGTTTGTTAAATGGTTCCTAAATGACAGCAATCCAGCTGCAACAAAAACAAAATCAAGTTGAGTTCACTCTTTTTATCATCCTCTCCGGTTTGGCTCTAACATAAAGTCAAAATACTTGTCATTAGCTTATGATGACCTTCTTGATTTGAAGCTTATTTAAATTCTTAATATTGGGTCATGGGACTAAATTATAAAAATATGACATCTGGCCATGGCCCTATCAGTGTCTTTGTGTCAGTAATGCCCTAAACCCAAAGCTCATTTTGCTGTGTAACAAAAATAAAGGTCCTTCTGAGCCAAACATGAAAAATATATATTTAATATATTTATTTATATACATTTTATATTCAGTTACTACAGTGTCTCTCTATATATGTGTAGATATGTGTATCTTTTCTAAAATTTTATTATTTGGAGACTGGGGTCTCACTATGTTGCCCAGGCTAGCCTCAAACTCCTGAGCTCAAGTGATTTGCCCACCCCAACCTCCCAAAGTGCTGGGATTACAAGCATGAGCCACTGCACCCAGCTTGTGTCTTTCATATCATGTCTCTTGAGTCCTTAGCCTGACACATAATGTTTCTGAAAAATTTATGTTGAATGAATAACTGAGAATTCCCATGGTTTACATAAATAGCCATGTACTCGATAATATTACAGTGGTGGTAGTAAGAGTACTAGTAGTAATAATACTGACAATAATATAGCTACTAGCTATTGAACTTTTGCCAAGTCCAGGCACTAATGTAAATGTGCTTTGTTTTGTTTTTGAGACAGGGTCTCATTCTGTCACCCAGATTGTAGTGCAGTGGTGCAATGTCAGCTCACTGCAAACTTTGCCTCCTGGGCTCAAACTATCCTCCCATCTCAGCCTCCTGAGTAGTTAGGACTACAGGTGTGCATCACCACATCCAGTGAATTTTTTAAATTTTCTTTTTGTAGAGACAAGATCTCACTATATTGTCCTGTCTGGTCTCAAACTCCTGGACTCAAGCAATCTGCCTGTCTTGGCCTCCCAAAGTGTTGAGATTACAGGTGTAAGCCTGTAAATGTGCTTTGAACTAGGTACTTTGTCTCATTTGATCCTGATAATAGTCCTGTGAGAGAGACCTTGTTATTTCCCAGATTATAGATCAGGGAACTGAGGTGTAAGGTGATTGAACAATGGGCTAAGGACAAATAGGTAATAATACAGAATCCAAATAATCTGCTTATAACCACTAAACTATTTTAACTGAGTTCAGGGAGCACATTGTCATTTCAATGGAATTTTATTGGAAAGCTCAACACTATTTTTGTTTGAGCAGCATGATTTCTTTTACAGATTCCCTCCTCTTCTTACCTCCCTTCTCTTCTAGGAGTTAATTCTATTATATTAAATTGCTCTGGGAAATTGTTAATGATCCTGTATTCAAGGACTCTAAAATAGAAGGAATGGGGATGGAAGACTTTGATTCTGGGAATGCACTGCAGTCAAAAACAGAGATAGGAGCCAGAAAGTATTCCTGAAGTGCCCTTGTTCATTTCCATGTGCCTGAGCAATCCCCAGAAAAATTATTGCTGCTCCTAATTCCCAACCTTTGGGTCATCCTCAAATCCCTTGCAATAGAGTGGAGTATCATTCCTTCAGTTCCACAAAATATTTAGGAATTTTCCATAAGAAATTCATCCTTACAGAAGCAGCCTTTATGATCTGCTCTGTAGATTTCATCCCAGAAAACCCTACTGTATTTTGATGTCTTGCGGAGGGTGCCACAAAAACAGCACTCCAGCTAGCGCTCAGGAATCAAAACTTCCCTTCCTGAAGTTCATATGGCCATAGCGCCAAGAAAAAAAGGAGATATTTGTATATATGTCTTTCTTCTATATCATGACAGTATATTTTATTCTACCCAGTGGGAACCAAAGAGGCAAAACCAATCCAAATATTATTTTAGAGCTAAATATGTGCTTATGTATCTATTTTATACAAAGGGGTTATGAACGCTTCTAATGTCATTTCTTAATCAACTGGAACTTGAGCCTTTAGTACTTACAATCAAATTGCATAATTTTAAACAAACTGTACACTTAAAATTTTTGCAATTTCATGGTTAAAATGACTCTTTAATAGGAGGACTGTGGACTCATAGCAGAGGTATCTTCTGGATACCTATATGGGTGTCATTTTTGAGAATTAGAGGCAGAATTGGAGTGCATCATTTTTTTTAAAGTCTTTTCACAAAATTCTTTCTAAAGCCATCCCCGTTTTCTTCCATGAACATCTCTTTAGCTGCATAGTCAAGGTAATCATTCACTGCAGAATTCTATGAACAGCATAGTTTCAAATATTCTTTTTCATAGGCACACTGAGCACAGTCAGGCTACTCAAACTGTGTCTTGATTTGAGGTTTGGAAACATGGCCACAAGACACCTATGTAACAATTGAGCAGCACTCGTTGAACATGTTGCCATCTCAATCATGGTATCACACAGTATTCTGAAGGAAGCAGGACAAGACTGATCAGTCTATAAGGGAGTTCACACCACAGAAGCAAGTGATCCTGCTTAAAATACTTCCTTCACTAAGGGAAGACAATTCAGGTAAATATTTGCATGGCGAACAATTTACATTCTTCCTTTCCTATAAATGTCTCTACCTTTCATCAAAGATCCACTTGTCACCTACACAAATTGCAGGTGTTGAAGCCAGATCTGTGACCCTGAAGAGCATCTTTGCCATTTCCGAATGACCTATGCATCCAAAAATGTGCCCTATGTCTATAAACAGTTGAGCTTCTGAAATTTTCTCTAAGGAACACAAAGCATATGCCATGCAGCTGGCTCACATATCACCCGTAGTGTCAGACAACTGCTCTCTGAAGTGCTCTGGTTTTCTGATCAGGAGACATCTGTCATGCTGGTCACACAGTGGGGAAAGCATGGAGCTGGGATGCCAGTGATTGGGGTCTGGGCCTCACTTGGCCACCAGGATGTGTGGGTGTGGGTGTAGGCTAGTTCCATTGTTTCTCAGCCTCTACTTCCTCACTTGAAAGGTGAGAGTTTGATTACATGAGCTTTAAAGTCCTTATCCAATTCAAAACACTTGGGATTATTTAATTTTACAACCAAACAGGATAATGGTAACTTACTTCACTCTACTCTGAGAGCATTTTTGTGGAATTCTATTAGTTAGTAGATACCTTAAAGAATATATCTTTTAAGAAAATTTTTTGTAACTTTTTACTTGGAAAATTGAGCATACATCCACCCTCCAACAAATGAATGATACATTATGAACATCTTAAACTACTGTGTACTTTTTAAAATACACAAGCCATTGGCCAGTGCCAAGGGCTTAACATTCAATTTTGCAAATTTGGTTGAGCAGATCAATAATAGATATAAGTGAACAGAAAAAGTTCAGTGGAACTTATTTTATGGTGAGAAAAAAACTGGGGAAAGGTAGAAAATGACGATTTTGCCTACTCGGAACTTTTCATCTGAATAAGTGGGATTCATTACCCAACCAGGGCAAGTGGCAAGATATAGAGCTGCCCAGGAACCTCAAAGAAAATTTCCTAGAGCTTTTCAGAACCATCTTGTGTCAAAGTGATTTACCACATCAGCCATAAAACGATCCCTCCAGGGTCAAGCTAACCCCTGCCTGAGAAGCAGCTTAGTTTAAAAGCTACCACCCAATGATAGAGTGCCCCTTCCTGACGCACTGGATACCATGATATTCCTAAATCACAAGAAAAATAAGCATATAGGAATTAATATTTTCATGACAGTTTATACTTAACAAAGCAGTTTCACCTTCCCAATTCAAACTATTTTCAAATAAAACACAGAAGACATTTCACACGGAGCAGTTGTTTTGTTGTGTGTTGCTTTATTTTTATAATTTTCTCAGCATAAGAAATATTAAAGCCACACAACAGACTGTAAAATCCAATTTTATTCAAAATCACAGGGCTTGACATGCTGCAAGCTTTAGAAATGTTTTCCAATTTCAGTAACGCTGAGAAGCTATACAACCTGCACCTGTAAATCCAAAGCATGAAATGGAAACAGGCAGCCATCCATCTGCATTCCATACAGAGCTATAAAACTGTCCTGGGACATGCTGAGGAGGAGCCTAAAGATGTTTCAAAGGAGAGAGTAGGAAGTTCTTTCTAACATGAGAAAAATATAGGTGGCAGAGAGTTGAGGAAGAGCCAGGTTTAACCCCTCAAAAGCAGATACTATTTTGTGAGTGGAAGCTTTTAAATAAACCATGGCTCCAGTGATATTTGCTTTCCTCAGGGCTCATAGCCCTTCACTTAGGCTCTTTAGCCCAATTCAATAGACACCTCCTGATTGCTCAGTCTCCCTACTCGGAGCGGATTCAGAAAAAGGAGCCAACCCCTCCCTATTCTAGTACTTTTTCTCCTAGCCCTTCCTCCTTGTCAATCACCAACCTCAAAGAGCCTCCACAGTCTGTCCTCTTTCTCTAATATGTCAACATATCTCAATTGCCTTGGGACTATCCTAATGTAGCTTGTTGTCCTGGCATAATTATTAATAATAATGCATTTCACTCTCAACAGTGCCCCACCTTGGAGGATAAATTTATATGGTCATCTTCTCTGTATCTTGCCTTCTTCCCTTCCTTCTTCTGTAATATCTATTTCTGCAGCATCAAAATAATACCTCAAAATGAATGTCTACCAAATTAATCCTCTATCCCTGCTCTTCCTCCAAAGCTCCAGACATACAGTTCTGTTTCAGTGCTCCGTATGTCTATTTCAGAGGTTTTCTAGAACCAAACTCAAACAATTAAGTCTGTCCCTTGTTCTCAGCATTATTTTTATTAAAGACAATGAATAAAGCTTAATATCTTAAAGTCATTTTGTCAGTAGAATCATATATAATTTCCCATAAGTTTTTCTGGGTCAAGAACCCATAAATGTGTCTCAAACCCACATTTTATTTTCCCCACCACCAGAAGCATCTTAATCTCTCTCCCAGACTCTTACAAAATGCCAGAGAACTACCTAGTATTAAATAAACTATGGCTCACAAAATGCTTGCTCACAGCTGTTCACAAATTAGCAGTGATTCCAAAGAATGTCTAAATTGATTTAAACCCCTTAGCCTAATTTTCAAGGCCTTGCACATTACAACTTCAACTCAACTTGCTGATCTGAAAAAGATCTAATAGTCCATGGCTTTATAACCCTAGAAACAGTTCCTTATTTCTCTTCAGTAATCAACCTTGTATTCTAGGCTTCACATGAACTTTACCTATAAGACCTGCATTTTGAGAATAATCTAGAATTCTTTACCTTCATGGCATCATCTGTGCCATTTCTTCAGACTAAAATATCATCTCCAAGTCTTTAAATCTACTCATTCTTCAAGAACCTAGTCAAATAGCACTTCCTCAACAAGCCTTTTGTCTCCACTCTTCCCCCAAAGAAGTACTGATGTTTTATCATCTCCATCTTCACCATTGCCATTATTCAGTATTTTCAGAATTCTGTATTATTATGACCTCAGAACACTATATTATGACCTATCTATATTATTATGAACCAGAAGGCTCCGCTTCCTTTTAATCACAGTCACCTCCAAATGCATTTACCGTATTGCTGCCAGATTGGTCTTTCCAAGCATGAACATCATCGTAGCATTTCCTAGATTAAAAGCTTTTAATGATTCTTTCACATAGACTACACAAAAAGTCCTTCTCCTTCCTGTTTACCTGGATAGTTCCACCTAAACACAGCTCTGATGATAATTCCTCCATTACAGTGTCTGATTACACAATTTTCTTTGCTCTCTTGCATCCAAACAAAATTAACTACTTTCTTCTTTAGGTACTAACAAATTGTTCTTGTATTATTTCAGTTATCAAAATATATTTCTTGCTGAGATTTTTTCTACTAGATTATGGAAAAAGTGCTCCAAGGATGGCACTTATGTAGTGGTTAAGAGCATGGACTCCAGAGGCAGAATGTAGGTTCAGAATGTAGGTCCTGTCTCTACTACCCTCTAGCAGAATGATCTTTTCTATCAGTTAGCTATTGCTACAATAATGATGCATAACAAGCAACCATAAAGTTTCAGGGGCATGGAACAATCAACACTTTCTTGCTTATTAGTTTATGGGTTGACTGGTAGTTCTGCTGATTTGGGTCAAGTTTGCTGATTTGGGCTGGGCTTGCTTATGCATTGGTCAGTGTTGATTGGGCTGGGTCTTGCCAGTGTGAGATGGCCTTAGCTGGGACAAGTCATCTCTACTACCTAGTTCTCTCATCCTCCAATAGGCTTGTTTGGGCTTGTCCTCATGGTAGAAGCAAAGTTTCCAGAGCATTGTAGAGTTACACATGGCCTATTGAGATTTAGCCTGGGAACTAACATAATGTTATATGTGCCACAATCTGTTAGCCAAAGCAAATACAGCCCAAATCCAAAGGGTAGGAAAATAGACTGCAACCCTTGATGAGAGTAACTGCAAAGACACATTGCAAAGGGCACGGATAAAGAGAGACCATTAATTTGGGCCACTTTTACAATCAATCTACCACATCTTGGGCAGCTGCAACCTTAATTATTTTTTTCCTTCAGATTTATTATGGTATAACCAACAAATAAAAATTGTAGATATTTTAGGTGTATGACTTGATGTTTTAACATATGTATACATTGTAAAATAACCACCCCAACAAAGCTACTTAACATATCCTTCCCCTCACAGTTATCTTTTTGTGTGTGTATAATGAGAACACTTACCTTCTACCCTTTTAGAAAATTTCACGTATGCAATACCGTGTTGTTAACTATAGTCACTGTGCTATATATTAGATCTCCAGAACTTATTCATCTTGCATAACTGAAACTTTATACCCAGGACTAATACAGCTGTTGCTAAGATAGCTGCTGTAGGGAGCAATGCGCAGAAGAAGAAAGACCAGGAGTGGATGTCAGCAAGGTGGTAAAATAGGACTTGGTAACACTTGCTCCTCTTGCAGAAATATTAATTTGAACAACTAACTATCCACAAAACCACCTTCACAAGAGCTAAGGATACCAGATGAGAGATTAGAACACCTGGGTATAGCACAGAAATTTTGAGACACATAGGAGCAGCTAGGAAGGACAATTTCACATTACCTAAGTCACTAGTTTCCCAACCCCAGGCAGCCCAGTGTGGAAAGAGATACCTTCCACATGGGGGAAAGAGAGGAAAGCGAGGACCAAACTTTGCCTTGGTCTCCAACACCAAGCCCACCACAGGAAAATCCAGTGCCAGGCAGGCCCCCATTGTGCCAGACTTCAGGCCAGTACCAGTGGACTAGGCCTGTGGGCCCACCCCAGGGCCAGGCTGGCTTCAGTGGCCCCAAGCCTGGACCACCCCCAGCACTTGAGTGGCTGCAGTGGCCCAAACTTCGGCCTGCCCCAGCAGCAGACTCACCTCTGCAGTCTTAATCATCAGACTAGCACCATGGACCCAGCCTCCAGTCCAGCTCCTGCAGCCTGCTCAGGTTTCAGGCTAGCCCAGAACCAGGTTTACCCACACAGCCCTAGGTCCTAGGCCCTCCCCAGCACCAAGTCAGTACACCTGGTCTCAGATACCAGAATGGCACCTGCAAACACAGACTTCAGGCCTGCCCAGTGCCTGGGTAGATACTGCAGCCCCACTCTGTAGGTTAGCACATGTGGCCCCATGCTGCAACAGACCCACAGCAACTTCAAGCAGAACCTAGAGTTCAGGCTTATCCTGGTGGACCCCAGCACTAGACCAGCCCTCACAGACTCAGGTTCCAGGCAAGCCTGCAGGACCCAAGGCAGCCCTCATGGGCCTAGCCTCCAGGGCAGCACCCACACATCCAGCCTCTAGGCTAACTCCAGAAGACACAGCCTCCCAGCTGGTTCCCATGGCTCTAGGCCCTAGGAGAGCACTCATGATCCTAGACATCATGCTGGCCACCAGAGACCCAGGCTCTACACCTGCCCCAGCATCAAGCTGGTCCTCATGGCTCCAGGATTTAGTAAACCAAGGGTCAAGTCCTTCTCCAGGAGACTCAGAGTTCAGACTTACTCCAGTAGGCCCCAGTGCCAGGCCAACTCCCACAGACCGAGGATCTGTCAACATCCCTCCAGACTCAGGCTCCAGACCAGTCCTCCTGGACCCAAGATTTGGGCCTACCCTGACAGGCTCAGTTTCCAGACCTGCCCCAGCACCAGGCCAGCCTTTATGGAATCAAGCTCCAGGCACGTCCCAGTGGACCCAGGTATTGACTCATCCCAGAACCTGGCCAACATCTGTAGACTCAGACTTAAGGCCTACCCCAGTGCCAGGTCAGTCTTATGGACTCAGGTTTCAGCCATCCCCCTCAGATACATGGTACAGGCTCTCTCACCTATTGATTGAATCTTTCAATCAATCAATCAATCAATCAATCAGTAGGTCCACCCTAGTGGATCCGGGCTCCAGGACCAAACCTCCAGACTCTGGTACCTGGCCAATCCTCCTGCTGACCCAGGCACCAGACCAGCCCACCTGAGGACTCCAGCAGCAATCCTACCCGCAGACCACATCAGACAGCCTGCCTAGAATCTCTGGATTGGCTGTTCGATGAAGTTTTTCTAAACAAACCCATTCTGCAAAGACTGGAATAAGCCCTTACTTCTTCACATATGCAGATATTACTGTAAGGCAACAAGAAACATGAGAAATCGAGAGGACATAACACCACCAACAGAACAGAATAATCTCCCAGTAGCTGATATTGGAATGGAAATATATGAAATGCCTGACAAGGAATTCAAAATACTTGTTTTAAGAAACTTGGTACACTTCAAAAAAAATACAGAAAAACAATTCAGTGAAATCAAATAAACAAATGACCAAAATGACAAATTAAACACAGGGATTAAATTATATTTTTTAAAAATCAAACAAAAATTCTGGAGCTAAAATAATAAAATGAATAGAAATTTAAAAATGTAATAGAGAGCATCAATGCAAGAATAAACCAGAATTAAGAATCTGAATTCAAAGACAGATTATTTAAAAATATAAAATCAGAGAAGACAAAAGAAAAGAAATAAAATTTACAGGATTTATAGGACAGCAACTATTCTAGTTATAGTTCATTTCAAAAAAGAGAAAGACAAGGGGGTAGAAAGTTTATTTAAAGAAATAATGGAAGAAAACTTTCCAAATTTGGAAAAAGATTTAAAATATTCAGGTACAGAAAGGTAAAAAGTCTCCAATCAGACTCAATCCAAACGAAACTACACCAAGACATTAAAATAAAACTGTTAAAAATCAGACAAAAAGAGGATCCTGAAGTCAGCAAGAGAAGATAAGCAAACACATATAAGGGAGTTTCAGTAAGGTTAGCAATGGATTTCTCAGCAGCAACTTCAAAGGCTAGAAGAGACTGGGATGTTATATTCAAAATGCTAAAGGGAAAAAACTGGTAAGCAAGAATTACTGTACTCAAAAAAGCTGTCCTTCAGAAATGGAGAGATAAAAAGCAGCTGTGCTGTGCTAGCGGTCTACTCCAGCCCCTAGTCATCTCAGACTCTCCAAAGCTTAAAGGCAAGAATGGCTAAGGCAGCCAAACAGCAGAGATAGAAGGCCACCCCTTCCTCTGGGAGCTCCACCCCAGGGAGGTTTGGATCTGGGGCTGGCCAGAAAACACCAGCAGGAGTAGCTGGAGACGCTGTTCGGGAGGTCCCACCAGTAAGGAAGAAGGGGATCAGGGACCTGCTTAAAAAGGAAGTCTGGCTACATTTTCATAGAGCAGCTGTGCTGTTCTGGGGATCTGCTCCAGCTCCCGGTCACCTTGGACTCTCCAAAGCCCAAAAACATGAACATATAAAGTGGCCAAAGAGCAAAGATAGCAGACCACCTCTCCCACTGGGAGCTCCATCCCAGGGTGGTTTGAAACTGTTGTCAACTGGAAAACACCAGAGGGGGTGACTGGAGACCCTTGTTGAAAGATTCTGCCCAGTGAAGAGACAGGAATCAAGATCTGCATGAATAAACAGTCTGACCGCTTCTCCTTAAATCTTCTGGGCTGTGCTGAGGGACTGTCCCAGTCCCTAGTTGTCTCAGATTCCCTAGAACCGTAAGGCAACAATGGCTAAGGCTGTGAAACAGCAAAGATGGTGGTCTGCCTCTCCCACTGGGAGCTCTGTCTCAGGGAGGTGTAACACTGCTACCAGTGGCTGGCTGGAGTTCCAAGCCAGTGGGCCTTATCCTGTGAGGTGCAGTGCAAGTAAGACCTGCAGCCCATCACTTCTTGGCCCCCTGGATTCAGTCCATTTCCTAGGGGTACGTACAGGGGTCTAACCCCCCACTTTGGTGGAGTTGCAGCTGCTTTTTCTGGGAAGCCTGGGTATCCAAGGCTACAGGGGCTCTGCATGTGCCTGACCAGCTGTTCTGCCAAGACTCCACATAGCTCTGTGTGTCAGGCTGAAGGCCCTGGTGGAGTGGGTTCACAAAGGGATCTCCTGACCCAAGGGTTGAAAAGATCTATGGGATAAGTGTGGATTCTTGGGGTTGCTCACTCACTCACCACTTCCCTGGGTGGGAGAGGTTTCCCTGGTTCTGTGTCAGTCCCAGGTGGGCAGTCATCCTGGCTTGCTTTTCTCCATTCTTTACAGGTCAAGTTGTTCACCTAATTCATTCCAATGTGTATACCTCCAACATGATCCTATATACAGAAAATTCTAAAGACTTTATCCAAAACTGTTAGAACTAATAAAGAAATTCAGTAATGTTGCAAGATAAAAAATCATACAAAAACCAGTAGCATTTCTATACACTAACAAAGAACTACCCAAGGATAATTTTTTAAATCTCATTTACAATGACTAAAATTATAGAAAAAATAAAAACACTTAGGAATAGATTTAACCAAGAAGGTAAAATACCTATGCACTTAAAACTGTAAGATATTGATAAAAGAAATAGAAGAAGACACAAAATAATGAAAAAACATCCCATGTTCATGGATTGGAAGAATATTGTTAAAATGTCCATACTATTCAAAGTGATCCACAGACTCAATGCAATCCCTATCAAAATTCCAATCACTTTTTTTTTACAAAAATAGAAAAAAAAATCTTAAAATTAGCATGCAACCAAAAAAGACCCTGAAGAGCCAAAGCAATCTTGAGCTAAACAAAAACAAAACTGGAAGCATTATACTATTTGACTTCAAAATATAGCACAAAGCTATTGTAATTAAAACAGCATGGTATTAGAAAAAAATATATAAACATAGACCAATGGTGCAGCATAGAGAGCTCAGAAATAAATTCATGCATTTATAGTCAATTGATTTATGACAAGGGTGCCAAGACCATACAATGAAGAAAAGCCAGTTTCTTCAACAAATTATGTTGAGATAACTGAATATTCACATGCAGATGAATGAAATTAGACCCTTATTTTATGCCATATACAAAAATAAACTCAAAATATATTAAAAACTTAAAGACCAGAAACTAGAAGAAAACAAGGGGGAAAACTTCATGACATTGGTCTTGGCAATAATTTCTAGATATGCACTCAAAAGCACTAGCAACAAAAGCAAAAATAGACAAATGGGATTACTTCAAACTAAAATGCTTCTGCACGGCCAAGGAAACAGTCAATGGAGTGAAGAGATAACCTAAGGACTGGAAGAACATATTTGCAGATTATACATCCTGTAAGAAGTTAATATCCAAAATATATAGGCAACTCAACTCAATAGAAAGAAAACAATCCAATTTAAAAATGTACAAAGGATCTAAATAGACATTTCTTAAAAGAAGGCATACAAATAGCCAACAGGTATTAGGAAAAATGCTCAAAATCTGTAATTATCAGAGAAATGAAAACCACAATGAAGTCACACTTGCTAAAATGGCTATTATCTAAAAGATGAAAGATAACAAATGCTGGTGAGGATGTAGAGAAAAGATAACCCTTGCACAGTATTGGTGGGAATGTAAATTAGCACAGACATTATGGAAAACAGTATGGAGGTTCCTCAAAAAATTAAAAATAGAACTACTATATGATCCAGCAATCCCACTACTGGATATATATCCAAAGAAAATGAAATCAGTTAAGTCAAAGGATTATCTGCACTCTGAAGTTCACTGTGGCATTTTTCACAATAGTCAACTTAAGTGCCCATCAATGGATAAATTGATAAGGAAAATGTGGCATATATACCTAATGAACTACTATTCAGCTTTAAAAGGGAAATCCTGTCATTTGAGACAACATGGATGAAACTGGAGGACACTGGGATAAATGAAATAAGCAGGCACAGAATGACAAAAGCTGTATGGTTTTACTTGCATGTGAAATCTAAAAGAAGTAGAAGTAGAGAATACAATGGGGGTTGCCAGAGCCTGGGGGTATGAGAGTGGTTGGGTGAAATCATGGTCAAAGGATACAAAATTTTGGTTAGGTAGGAGTAACAAATTCAAGAGATCTATTGTACAGCATGATGATTATAGTTATTAACAGTGTATTGTATACTTGAAAATCACTAAGACAGTAGATTTTAAGTGTTCTTTCCACACAAAAAAATAAGTGGAGGAAATCATAGATATGTTCATTAGTAGGATTTATCCATTTCACAAAGGTGTACATATTTCAAAACATTATGTCGTACATAATAAATACATACAATTTTTGTCAATTAAAAAATTAATTAGTTTTAAAAGACCTTATATTCTCCAAATCCAAAATGTGCCTGCAAAGCCAGAGCAACCTAATCTTTTTTTCCTTCAAGCCCTTTTTATAGGGGTGACATAACACAACTGCCTACCCCATGTGTCACGGTGAGTGTCGAAACTGCCACTTGGTTTCCTTCAGGAGCCAGCACGTTTGGAACATTTTTTAAAAATCCTATCTCTGAACTGTAAAAAAATTAGAATGAACTTGACTTCTTTGTTCTGCTAAAACTACTTTATTCATCTACTAAAACTTTGTTTTATTAAAACTAGTCTCTGCTATCATCTCAAAAATGAAAATAAAAATACTGATATTGATTGGCTATGCTATGGATTAAATGAGAGAATACATGTAATCCCAGAACAGCGTGTATCATATGTGCTGATTGCCTCCTTTCCAAAATGAGTGATTCAGGGGTCAGGGAGATTCTGTTTATAAGTGAAGTTATAAAAAAATAGAATTCAAGTCGATTAATGCTAAGGTGGAGTGAATTATTTTGTATATCAATGAGTCTGAGTGAAGCTGGACTTATGATAGGCATCAGATTGTTTCTCCTCATAATAAATGCTTTTTTGGGTGGTTTGGAACATTTTCAACTCTAAAATGTCTGATTTTCCCACAATGACCCACAGTTTGTTTCTGCCCCGGGCAGACTGAAGTCCATCATTTGTAAGAATTGAGACATGACTTTCAAGCCTCAATGTGGTTAAGGCCTTCGGATTAGCCTCCACTTTGTCCCCAGGAGCACCTAGTTTGTCCCCATGTATCAGCTATGTTTCCTCTCTTGTTCACAGACACTTCTAATTTCCTTACCTGAGTCCATCTGTCTGCAAGGTTAATTCCAAGGGAGGTTACAAGTATTATAAGCTCCCCAATTCCATCATATCCTCCAAAAAATATATAAACAAGGCAAGGATAACAAAACAAAAACGTGGAAATCATTGTAGTTCCAGAAACTGCATGGGATGCAGCTATAAAGAAAATTTTCTTGTAGAAGTTCTTGGATGTTTCTTGAAATGGCTTAAAATTTGGTCCACTCAAATATATCTTGGTTGGATTTTAGATGCTCTATGGTTTTATCACCATAGTTTTCCCTATCACCCCTTTCCTCCCCAGTTAACTACCAGGAAAAAATTTTAACCAAAAATTAAAGTTCAACTTATAGAAACTCTAAACAATACTTTAAATTCATGTCAATTTTTATTAAGAACATTGTACATTACACGGAACTTAATATATGAGCCCTAAAATAAACAACTCAATCTTGAGATTATCATAATAGATATATAGGACAGAAACTGTGAATCATCAGTCCAATAGAATTAATTATGTGGCAATAGCATCAAAGTAAGATTTGCCAGGGCATGGGCATAACCTTTACAATATAGATGAACATAGATATCTCTTAAAACAGTAATCATCCTGTTCCTAAAACTGTATACATCAGGCATTTTCCCATTATGGGATTAATTTATTAAAATTCACCCTTGGTTCTTTTTTGTCTCTGAGGCTAGATCTACACAAATGCATTCACTCAGCAAGTCCATGATTTCATAAAGCCTATAGTTGTGTGTGTGTGTGTGTGTGTGTGTGTGTGTGTGTGTCTTAGGTTAGGGGAAGACAGGGAAAGAGTTTTGTTATAAAATAAATAAGTCAACACACACATATAACAATATAAACTAGAATAAGTTCTATGGAAATACAAATGAGTATAAAAGGGTAAACTGTGATATGATAAGGAAAGAGGTTGGTATTAATAATGGCAGCAGTTAACATTTATTGACTGCTTAGTATGTGATAGACACTTTTTTGAAGTGTATGTGTGTGTACATCCATCTAATCCTTACACCACCCTATGAATTAAGTACTATTCATCTTACCACTATTTAATAGACTGGGAGTCTGAGGCACAGAAAACTTACTCAAGGTTTGCCTTGCTAGTAGGTGGCAGGACTGAGAGTTGCTCCCAAGCTGTCTGATTCCAGAGCCTGGGCAGCATCTTGCCTATCAGAAATGAATGTGACCATCTATGACTGGGTCAGAAAAACTGACTTCAAATGTAAATATCTTAATGGCTCTCAGGAAGATGTTTCTATCACTATTATTTTGTTAAGAACATAAATTTCCAGTCAAGGCTGGTACAGTCTACTCTTTCCCTGGAGCATAAAAGGTGAATGAAGGTAGAACTGGAAGATTCACTGCACTCAAGAAGCATATTCTAACCTCCCCAAAAGAAGCTGTGATAATTTAAAATACATTCACATCTTTTTTAAATCTAATTAACTATTTTAGAGTAACAATGTGAATAAATTAAAAAGAGCTTTTTTGATGAGTGATAGGCAAACGTACATAAATCTGAGTTACTGAAAAGAATAAAGTAATGGTATACTTCAATGTGATAATCACTAATTGCCTATTGTACTGATGATGACAGGAAAATACTTCACCACTCTTCGAATGGCAGACCACTACCTTCACTTGTAACACATTGCATTAGTGTCTTTTTGCATTTAGCTTTCATTTAGCTTTCTTTCTTCTGCTATTATGGAGTGATCTCTTTTTCCTGTTCTGTAAAGGGTTACTTTCTTTATGGATGAAAAACATTGATTTTGAACTATCGCTTACCTAGCCACTAAAAATTCTTTTACAGGCTTGAAAATGGACACAGAAGATACGGAAAAATGCTTGCTCAGAGCATTACATGAGACAGTCTATACTTTAAACTCTTCTGATGAATGTAGAAACAACACGTATGGTATTGAAAGGCCTACAATTAAATGAATAGTCAATAAATGATATTAAAATAGGTATTT